>NC_000005.10:86473443-86776473 GCF_000001405.40 Homo sapiens | reverse complement strand
CACTAAACATGGAAAGAAACAACCAGTACCAGCCACTGCAAAAACATGCCAAATTGTAAAGACCATTGACACTATGAAAAACTGCATCAATTAACAGGCAAAATAACCAGATAACATCATAATGACAGGATCAAATTCACATATAACGATATTAACCTTAAATGTTAATGGGCTAAATGCCCCAATTAAAAGACACAGATTGGCAAATTGGATAAAGGGTCAAGACCCATCAGTGTGCTGTATTCAGGAGACCCACCTCACATGCAAAGACACACATAGGCTCAAAATAAAGGGATGGAGGAGGATCTACCAAGCAAATGGAAAGCAGAAAAAAGCAAGGGTTGCAATCTTGCCTGGTCTCTGACAAAACAGACTTTAAACCAACAAAGACTAAAAGAGACAAAGAAGACCATTACATAATGGTAAAGGGATCGATGCAACAAGAAGAGCTAACTATCCTAAATATATATCCAGCCAATACAGGAGCAGCCAGATTTATAAAGCAAGTTCTTAGAGACCTACAAAGAGACTTAGACTCCCACACAATAATAGTGGGAGACTTTAATACCCCACTGTCAGTATTAGACAGATCAACAAGACAGAGAATTAACAAGGATATCCAGGACTTGAACTCAGCTCTGGACCAAGCAGTCCTAATAGACATTTACAGAACTCTACACCCCAAATCAACAGAATATACATTGTTCTCAGCACCACATCACACTTATTCTAAAATTGACCACATAATTGGAAGTAAAACTCTCCTTAGCAAATGTAAAAGAACAGAAATCACAACAAACTGTCCATCAGATCATAGTGCATTCAAATTAGAACTCAGGATTAGGAAATGCACTCAAAACTGCACAACTACATGCGAACTGAACAACCTGCTCCTGAATGACTATTGGGTAAATAAAGAAATGAAGGCAAAAATAAGGACGTTCTTTGAAACCAATGAGAACAAAGACACAACATATCAGAATCTCATATAAAGCAGTGCGTAGAGGGAAATTTATAGCACTAAATGCCCAAAAGAGGAAGCAGGAAAGACCTCAAATTGACACCCTAACATCAAAATTGAAAGAACTAGAGAAGCAAGAGCAAACAAATTCAAAAGCTAGCAGAAGACAAGAAATAACTAAGATCAGAGCAGAACTTAAGGAGATAGAGACACAAAAAACCCTTCAAAAAATCAGTGAACCCAGGAGCATTTTTTTGAAAAGATAAACAAAATAGATAGACTGCTAGCCAGACTAATAAAGAAGAAAAAACAGAAGAATCAAATAGAAGCAATAAAAAATGATAAAGGGTGTATCACCACTGATTCCACAGAAATACAAACTACCATCAGAGAATGCTATAAATTCCTCTATGCAAATCAACTAGAAAATTGAGAAGAAAGGGATACATTCCTGAACACAAACACCCTCCCAAGACTAAACCAGGAAGAAGTCAAATCTCTGAATAGACCAATAACAGGTTCTGAAATTGAGGCAATAATTAATAGCCTACAAACCAAAAAGTCCAGGACAAGACAAATTCACAGCAGAATTCTACCAGAGATACAAAGAGGAGCTGGTACCATTCCTTCTGAAAATATTCCAATCAATAGGAAAAGACAGAATCCTCCCTAACGCATTCTATGAGGCCAGCATCATCCTGATATCAAAACCTAGCAGACAAACACACACACAGACACACACTCACATACAAAATTTTAGGCCAATACCCTTGATGAACATCAGTGCAAAAATCCTCAATATACTACTGGCAAACTGAATCCAGCAGCACATCAGAAAGCTTATCCACTACGATCAAATCAGCTTCATCCCTGGGATGCAAGGCTGATTCAACATACACAAATCAATAAACGTAACCCATCACATAAACAGAACCAACAACAAAAACCACATTATCTCAATAGATGCTGAAAAGGCCTTCAACAAAATTCAACAGCCCTTCATGCTAAAAATTCTCAATAAACTAGGTATTGATGCAATATATCTCAAAATAATAAGAACTATTTATGACAAACCCACAGCCAATATCACACTGAATGGGCCAAAACTGGAAACATTCCCTTTGAAAACTGGCAAAAAACAAGGATGCCCTCTCTTACCACTCCTATTCAACATAGTATTGGAATTTCTGGTTAGGGTAATCAGGCAAGAGAAAGAAATAAAGCGTATTCAATTAGGAAAAGAGGAAGCCAAATTGTCTCTGTTTGCAGATGACATGACTGTATATTAGAAAACCCCATCATCTTAGCCAAAAATCTCCTTATGCTGATAAGCAACTTCAGCAAAGTCTCGGGATACAAAATCAATATGCAAAAATCACAAGCATTCCTATAGACCAAGAGCAGACACACAGAGAGCCAAATCATGAGTGAACTCCCATTCACAATTGCTACAAAGAGTATACAGTACCTAGGAATCCAACTCACAAGGGATGTGAAGACCTCTTCAAGAACTACAAACCACTGCTTAAGGAAATAAAAGAGGACACAAACAAATGGAAGAACATTCCATGCTCATGGATAGGAAGAATCAATATCATGAAAATGGCCATACTGCCCAAAGTAATTCTTGGATTCAATGCTATCCCCATCAAACTACCAATGACTTTCTTCACAGAATTAGAAAAAACTACTTTAAATTTCACATGGAACCAAAAAAGAGCCAGCATAGCCAAGACAATCCTAAGCAAAAAGAACAAAGCTGGAAGCATCATGCTACCTGACTTCAAACTATACTTCAAGGCTACAGTAACCTAAACAGCATGGTACTGGTACAAAAAGAGATATATAGACCAATGGAACAGAAAAGAGGCCTCAGAAATAACACCACACATCTACAACAATCTGATCTTTGACAAACCTGACAAAAACAAGCAATGGGGAAAGGACTCCCTATTTAATAACTGGTGATGGGAAAACTGGCTAGCTATATGCAGAAAGCTGAAGCTGGACCCTTTCCTTACACCTTACACAAAAATTAACTCAAGATGGATTAAAGACTTAAATGTTAGACCTAAAACCATAAAAACCCTAAAAGAAAACCTAGGCAATACCATTCAGGACATAGGCATGGGCAAGGACTTCATGTCTAAAACACGAAAAGCAATGACAACAAAAGCCAAAATTGACAAATAGGATCTAATTAAACTAAAGAGCTTCTGCACAGCAAAAGAAACTATCAGCAGAGTGAATAGGCAACCTACAGAATGGGAGAAAATTTTTGCAATCTATCCATCTGACAAAGGGCTATTATCCAGAATCTACAAAGAACTTAAACAAATTTACAAGAAAAATATAAGCTACCCCATCAAAATTGGGTGAAGGATATGAACAGACATTTCTCAAAAGAAGACATTTATGCAAGCAACAAAATTATGAAGAAATGCTCATCATCAGAGAAATGCAAGTCAAAACCACAATGAGATACTATCTCATGCCAGTTAGAATAGCAATCATTAAAAAGTCAGGAAACGACAGATGCTGGAGAGGATGTGGAGAAATAGAAAGGCTTTTACACTGTTGGTGGGAGTGTAAATTTGTTCAATCATTGTGGAAGACAGTGTGGTGACTTCTCAAGGATCTAGAACTAGAAATATCATTTGACCCAGCAATCCCATTACTTGGTATATACCCAAAGGATTATAAATCATTCTACTATAAAGACACATGCACAAGTATGTTTATTGCAGCACTGTTCACAATAGCAGATTCTTGGAACCAACCCAACTGTCCATCAATGATAGACTGGATAAAGAAAATGTGGCATATATACACCATGGAATACTATGCAGCCATAAAAAAGGATGAGTTCATGTCCTGTGCCAGGACATGGATGAAACTGGAAACCATCGTTCTCAGCAAAGCAACACAAGAAGAGAAAACCAAACACTACATGTTCTCACTCATAAGTCGGAGTTGAACAATGAGAACACATGGACACAGGGAAGGGAACATCACACACTGGGGCCTGTTGGGGGGTGGGGGGCTGGTGGAGGGATAACATTAGGAGAAACACCTAATATAAATGACAAGTCGATGGGTGCAGCAAACCAGCATGGCACATGTATACCTATGTAACAAACCTGCACATTTTGCATATGTATTCCAGAACTTAAAGTATAATAAAAAAAATCTTAAAAAGAATTTTACTTTATAACGAGTAAATTTAAGAAGTCATCTATTTATGTTAAAATAAGTCATATGTGTTTGTATTACAAATAACCAAATAAAAAGAAACCAAACAGAAAAACAACAGTAAATCCTCCCATTGATTTCATATGCATCTAGGCCTTATTTTTATTTCTTAATAGTATATAAAAATTGCATATGAAAATGTTTTGTTTTGAAACCTCTATATAGTTTCTATCTTAAATGAAGTTATAGCTTTGGATAAGTAGAGGACAAACTAATGGGATAGTTTTCAGTAGATTAATTAGACTTCACTTTTTTCATAATGTGTAAAATTATCTGTTGCTCATTCATTTGCCCATCTATTTCATTTGTTCATTTACATAAAAATATGTTGAATGTCTATTGTATTCCAGGCACTGTGCTAAATCCTGAGAATTTATTAGTAATCAAGAAACAATCTTTGCCTTTGAGGGTTTATTACCTACAGTAAGAAACAAACAATATTGAATCATATGGAAAAGTTGCACTTACAACTAAAAACCAGTTTTATATTGGTATGTTTAATTTAATGCATAGGCAATTTTAATGTAGAGTAAGAAATGTTATAAATATAGGGGTATACCGCTGTGAGATTATATATACTTCCCTATGTTATCCAGGAGGACTTCTTGAAATGAGGTCCAAGCTTAAATCTGTAGGGAAAGTGATGAATCTGAACTTCAAACCCTGGTGTAAGCCAAAGACTACACTTTGCTCTTTTCTCTCACTCTTGTTTTGTTAACTTTTCCCTCTCCATTCTTTCCTTCCTTCTTTTCTTTTTCTGGTTATAAGCTTAAATCTGTGGGGAAAGTAAGTTAGGTGAAGATGAAATAGTGCTCTAGGTAGAGAAGTCAACCTGTCAGTGGAGAGACTTACAAATTAATCTGTTCTGACCTACATGTGGAATTTGGAGATCCTCCTGCTAATAATTATTAAGCACTTTAGAATTTTGTTAAATTTAACCTGGAAGTCACTAGCCTGAGGCTGTCTCTGAGTTCCTGTGTAACAAACTACAACTGAACCTGGTAATAAACAAAGCAAAACCTAACTAGCAGTATAGTCTTTGTAACAAATAGCCAGGTTTCACCCAATCACACTTGGCTGAGTTTTAGCCAATCACAGGCATCCAACTGATAAGATCATACCTAAATAAGGCAAATGCCTTGTCACACCATGCCCACATAAGGTAGATACCTAGTCCATTGGGTGATTTCTCTATTTTGCTTCCATGTGTGAACTATAAATACTTACCGCTCACACTTATGGGCAGAGCCTTCTGAACTTCTTCAGGTTCTGAGTGCTGCCCAATTCATTAATTATTCTTTGTTCAAATAAACTGTCAAATATATTGCATGTAAAGCTTTACTTTTAATAATGTACAGAATAATGCAAGTGTTTAAGTTTCCATGTATTTGCTATATACATTAAGAATTAATAATCAGTAAAATTAAAGAAGGAAGAAAGAAAAGAGGGAAGAAAAGAAGGGAGAGAAAAAAAAAGCAGCCGGTCGTGGTGACTCACACCCGTACTCCCAGCACTTTGGGAGGCCGAGGCAGGTGGATCACAAGGTCAGGAGTCTGAGCCCATCCTGGCCAGCATGGTGAAACCCCATGTCTACTAAAAATACAAAAAATTAGCTGGATATGGTGGCACATGCCTGTACTCCCAACTACTCTGGAGGCTGGGTCAGGAGAATCGCTTGAACCCAGGAGGCAGAGGTTGCAGTGAGCAGAGATTGTGCCACTGCACTCCAGCCTGGTAACAGAGTGAGACTCTATCTCAAAAAAAAAAAAAAAAAAAAAAAAAAAAAAAAAAAAAAAAAAAAAACCCAACAACAACGAAAACAGCAACAAAGCAAGTGAGAGAAAAGAGCAAAATGCAGTTTTTGATATTAAACCAGAGTATGAATTCCAGTTTCATCATTTGTTGGCTTGTCACTTTGAGCAATTTACTTAATATATCTGAATTTCAGTTTGTCATGTTTAAAAAGGCATTGATTATCGCAACCCTTTTACCCTGTGTTGGGAATGGAAAACAGTATGAAGATTCACCAAAAAATTAAAAGTGGAATAACCTACCATATGATCCAACAAAGCTGTTTCTAGGTTGTTATTTAAAAAATTAAAACCAAGATCTTGAGGAGATATTTACACTCCCATTTTCGTTGCAGTACTTTTCACCATAGTCAAGATATGGAAATAACCTATATGGCCACTGATGTTGACATGGCTTGAATCTGTGTCCCCACCCAAATTTCATGTTGAAATGTAATCCTCAATTTTGGAAGTGGGTCCTGGTGGGATGTGATTGAATCATATGGGTAGAGTTCTCATGAATGGTTTAGCATCATCCCCTTGGTGCTGTTCTCATGATAGTGAGTTATTCTAAGATTTGGTTGTTTAAAAGTGCATAGCACTTCTCCCCTCTCTTTTCCTCCTGCTCCAGCCATGTAAGATATGCCTGCTTCCCTTTTGCCTTCTGCCATGATTGTAAGTTTTTGGAGGCCTCCCCAGAAACAGAAGCTACTATGCTTCCTAGACAGCCTGCAGAACTGTGAGCCAATTAAACTTCTTCTCTTTATAAATTACCTAGTCTCAGCTCTATCTTTTTAGCAGTGCTAGAATGAACTAATACAGAAAATTGGTACTGAGGAGTAGGGCACTGCTATAAAGGTATCTGAAAATGTGAAAGCTACTTTGGAAGTGGGTAATGGTCAGAGGTTGGAACTTTCTAGGGACTTCCTGAATGGTTACAACTAAAATGCTGATAGTGATATGGACAGTGAAGTCCAGGCTGAGGAGGTCTCTGATGGAGGTAAGGAACTTATTGGTAGCTGGAACAAAGGTGACTTTTGTTATGCCTTAGCAAAGAGGCTGGGTGCATTGTACCCCTGCCTTAGGAGTCTGTGGAAATTTGAACTGGAGAATGATTATTTAGGGTATCTGGTAGAAGAAATTTCTAAGCAGCAAAGCATTCAGATGTAAACTGGCTTGTTCTACCAACCTATGTTCATATGCATGAGCAAAGAAATCTCCTAAAATTGGAACTTATATTTAAAGGGAAAGGAGAGTATAGAAGTTTGGAAAAATGCAGCCTGGCTATGTGGTAAAAAACAAAACCTATTTTAAGGTGAGGAATTTAAGCAGGCTGCAGAAATTTACATAAGGAAAGAGAAGCCAATTGGTAATAGTCAAGACAATGGGGAAAAGGCCTCAAAGGAATTTTGGCGATCTTTACAGCAGCCTCTTCCATCATAGGCCCAGAGGACTAGGAGGACAGAATGGTTTTGTGGGCCAGGCCCAGTGTCCCAATGCCCTGTGCAGCCTCAGGACACTGCTCCCTGCATCCCAGCTGCTCCAGCTCCAGCTTCAGCTCAAAGGCCCCAGATACAGCTCAGGCTACTGCTCTAGAGGGTGCAAGCTATAAACCTTGGTGGCTTCCATGTGGTTTTAAGCCTGTGGGCTCACAGAATGCAAGAGTTGAGTCTCGGGAGCCTCCATTTAGATTTGAGAGGATGTATGGAAAATCCTGGATGTCCAGGAAGAAGCTTAATTTGATATATATGAAACAACTAAAACTTTGACTAATGGAGTTCAATAGATCCCCAATATGAAATTGCCACTTAGTAATATTTTAAAGGTACTTACTATGCAGACAAAGAGATAAATCATTAAACATCTAACCATAATATTTGGTTCTTACCACTTTCACAAGAAAAAGCAACATAAATAAATGTGTAAATAAAATGTATCCAGGATAAATTCTAAATTATGTCTAAAGTTGTAGGCATATTTCTTAATTCCCACCTACCAAGTCTTATCTCTCCCACTTTCTCCCACTGTTTAACACTTTCTTCAAATTTTGAGGGCTTTTTAAAAGCAATAAATGCAAAAATAGATATTTTTTGTTTTACATAAATGTGGCATGCTATACACAAAGTTCTTTTTGTTCAGTAAATATATACTGAATATCTTTATATATTATGTATACAGATTTTCTCGTTCTATTTACCTACCAGAAAATATTTACTATCCGAATAAAAATCTTAAGCCCTTACATAACTTAATTTTCTATTTGAAAAATCTGATGACATAATATAAAATGACTAACTGTAAAATTTATCTTCAATTAATGGAGACAATTGTTAATAGCTATCATGCTTAAATATGAAAAGAAATGCATTAAAATGACAAATTAATTTAGAACAAGAGTTAGTAATGTCAATGAAAAGTCTTATCACTGTTTTGTCTTTAGGCACAACCTTCTTAAGGATCTAGTAAGTCTAAAATAAGTGCTGATAGTTTTTCAGCAAATTTGTATCTTCTGATTTGCATTTGGTCAGTGATATTGCTATTGCTCCCACAGTAGATAATAAATGTCAAAAATGTTTTGTGCATATTACATTTTCTTCATTAACCTTCTGCAAAATGAAAATTAAGTACTTAGTTTTTTATTTAACATGTATTTTATTTTTTATACATGTTACTGAGTTTATTGGAAAAACATTTTTAATAAGATTATCAATAATACAATAAGTGATCAAACTACAAAGTAAAAGCTTTCAGATTACTCTCTCCACTCTGTATCTAATGACTATTCAGCTTTTATTTCATACACATATTTTACTTACACCTGCTCTTTAATTTCTCTTGTATCCCATCTTATGTGCAGCCAGGCAATCTTGCAGCTGTTGTATCTCACAGACCTCTGCACAGGTCTCAGCATAAATGGTTAAATGCCAAAATCTAGGCAAGGGGCAGCTGTTTCCTATACTTTACTAAGATTGAATCTGAAGGAGTTAGCTGCCCCTAGTTGCTCTTGTTCTAATAGTCTTTATTTTATTAGTGGGCAGTCAAGATGCTGTTTTTGAAAAGAAAGTGTTAGTTACTTTGGATCCAGAAAAGCTTGAGAAAAGAGAAAAAGATTACACATTAAAGCAAGAATTACATTCACTGCGTTGCCTATGATGTTGACTCTCTCTCAATCATGCCATATGAATAGGCTTTATAATGCTATCATGAAGGTTTTAGGCATTTCTTGCTGACTTATTGATTCTGTAGTACCGAGACACTTCAGTTCATTTGCTTCAGCTTGCAATGCAGTCTTCAAGAGGCAAGAAGCTAGTGCCAGGTTGATAATAGTTCAGAGCTCCACCACCCTGCTTCACCACCTGCAGTTTATGTATCTGTATAGCTCTTAGAGAAGGTGCCTCAAATGAGAGAATCCCTTTCTTCAGTCATTGAGTTTAACTTGACAACTAAAGAAGCAGGAGTGGTCAAAATAGATGTTGAGATATGTAATTCAATGAGTAATTCTGAGAGGGGTGAAGAAGACTCTGATGTTTTCCGTGCTGGGAAAGGTATGTGCAATATTAGCAAACTCAAAGGAGTATTAAAAATTCCATTCATATTCACATTTTTAAAAACACTGAGCTGGATAAATAAAAATCTATACTGGCTAAATTCTACATAGGGACAATAAGTCAATGACTTATGAATTCAATCTTTAATTCCACAAATGAGGAGGTAGAATCCAAACAATTTTAAATGGCATGGCTAGAGGATATGATTAATCAGTGGCCATGCTAGGATTAGAAGGTGTACAGTCTTCCTATAATTGACTGCAAAATTAATGCTAACCCATGTGTATCCCTGGCATTAATAAATGCTTCCAACTGTATCTTACTGCATTTATATTTTTTGAGTAAGACCTCTTTTGGAGTAATATGTTCTATAAATTAATCCCTCTCCTTATAAAATACTACATTAATCCCAAATTGGCAAGAAACTATAGCCCCTCTTCAATAGTACATTTCACCAAGACTTTAAAAAAGTGGCCATGTGGGTTTTCTCAAAAGCTCTTGATCTTGTTCTTGTAAACATAGCCCTTCTAAATATACTTCAGCACAAGGACAGTGCGTGAACTGATTATGCAAATGAATTCACCATTTTCTAGGTCACAGCAGGCCTTTTACATAGAATGCACCAACAGGAATATCAGGGGGTGCTTGTTGCCAGAATGTAAATGACTTCTACTGACAAAATTTACTGGAGATGAAAGATGTTATGTAACTCTTATCTTCCCACTCACTTAAATGAACTGTGATCTGAGACAATGTTCTGCCACTCCAGAAATAATAGTCATGTTGGTTTCCAGGCTAGGTGAGTTACAAAATTTGGGCCTAAAATTTATTCCTTCCATTCTGTCATTAACTCTGCAGGATCTTGTAAACTGCTTGGGTCTCGGATTCCTCATCTGAATAATCAGGTTTATTTTTAAATGGGTGTAGGGAATAGATATTTAAATACTATAGCTAACGCCTTATTAACATACCCAGAGAGGACTTGGCAAATAACTGGTTGTTAGGTTTCCTTAGATGTAAAACAAACACCAGCACTGTTATTATTTAAGATCTTCAGGAGGGTTGCTCATATGTTCTCAAATGTTAAGAAAATTCACTAGAATTGTAATGCAAAGCATTTTATTATTCCCAATTTTTCTTCCACTGGGGATTAAAATATATCCTCTGTATATATAGATTTCCACGTATACTGAAAGGGATACATCAGTTTGGCTCAATGAAAATTGAAACTGCCTTTGCAAATATTATAACAGTGAGAAAATTATGGCAGTAAAAGATATCTAATCTAACCTCTCCCCCATCTTGTCTTTAGCCTTCAAACTGCCCTGAATTATTCCTGGGCTTGGGCCAAGCTAACTTTGGGAGAAATTTAGTTTATAGGTTAAATGGTAATAGCTCTTTCCCAAAACTCAACCTCCTTTGTAAAGCTAATGAGAGACCACCAGGTTAAGAGGGTAAGAGAAGCCTGAATTCTGCTAAGGCGCAGACATAAATGATTACCTGCTATTATTCTGGAGGTCACAAGATATGCAATTGTCCCACATACTCCTGCAGATAATGTCACTATTGTAGAACCTAAGATTAGCCTTTTGCGATGTCTTTTCAGATTTTTTGCATGTTTGACCATTAATGGCTCCACCTGGACACACCAACCTCTCTTGTGGCCCCACCCAAAAGTGATTCAGCATACATGAGGATCATTTACCATATCCCTATAATTGCACCCTCAACCAATCAGCAGCAAGTTCTTATTGTCTAGTGACCGCTCTTTCTTCCCCCCAACTATCCTTGAAAAATTCCAGCCTCTGAATTTGAATTTTCTAGGAGACTGATGTGAGTAATAATAAAACTGGTCTCCCGTTCAGCTGACTGTGTGAATTAAGCTCCTTCTCTATTGCAATTCTCCTGTCTTGATAAATCAGCTTTATCCAGGGAGCGGGCAAAATGAACCCACTGCGTGGTTACAAAACACTGGACATGGACTAGGACAAGTAGGAAAAGGTGCTAGTTCCACTACTTACACCTGTGGGACCCTGGACATGCTGTTAACTTCACTGAGCCTCAATTATGTCCATAAAATGATCATTATTCCATGAAAAGATGCTGCTGTACCAAAAAAGGCATTGTTATTATGGTGTCATGTACAGTCATTTAAGAGCACTGAGGTTACATAAACATATTTTGTTGCTTCTTGCTGGCCTTTTATCTGCTGTCTAACTTTGATAAAATTTTGGAAGAAAATAATTAGTCCCCTTTCTGGAGAGCTTTGCATTTAGAGCACAGTCAACATATATTAAACAAACTTGCAGTTATGAGATGAATAAGTTCTGGATAGACCGTGTACAACATGGTGAATATAGTTAATAATAATAATTTATTGCCTACTTGAAATGTGCAGAGAGTACATCTTAACTATTCACATCACATCTCTAGAGTTAATCTCCAGACTCATTTTAATGACAATAACAGTTTTGACCCCTGACTGAAATATCTGAAGTTTGACATCAGCTGCAGATGAAAGTTATGAGGAAAACAACAGACCCTTTTTCAGATAGGATATAACAATCTTCTATTCAAGGTGAATCACTGACAAATCTCTACAGGAGAGAAACTCTGCAAAGCATTATCTGTGGCTGAGCCCATCACAATTCAACAAAGATTACGCTTTGGTTTATTTTTCATTTCAAAGTTTGTGCATATATGTGTTTTTCCCCCTTCTACCCACACATTCCCCTGCCTGTAAACTCCTTTTTACCAGAAGGGTTTTGGCAGAACAAAGGTGTCAAAAGAAATTCAGGCAGCCAGACACAATGTTAGCTGAACACATAATGGGTGTTAGCTGCATGACTCAGGAAAAGAGAGTGTAGTTGTTAAATCCCAGAAACTTTCTTTGATGAGAAAAATAAGTAGGAAACAAGGTAAAACAATGAAAATAGGATTTCAAAATTCATAAACCATAGGATTCCTTGGTTCAGAGACACTTTTGTCACTTGGGACTTGAGTTCATTGAAAATACTTATATTCACAAGTGACCATCAAGCCAAAGACATGGAATGGGTATAGCAAGTACCTTTGTATCTGTGAAGTCTACTGATACCATTAAAAAAAAAAATGCAATGAATGTTGATAGAGTACCTGCTATGTGCCAGGTAACAATCTCTAAGTAAGAGATTGTATTAGAGATTATGGTGGAATCAATATGTTCACATTTCCAGATTCAATTCTTGTGAGGTGGGATTACTTTTCCAGATATTTCTACTTCATTAGTCCCTAATAACTCTGCTTCTTGCCATCTCTTACAACCAGAAATAAAAACCAGGAATTAGGCAGAAGTTGTGCAGGTGCTGCTTATTGTTGGGCTAATGGAAGAAGGCTTTGGAATATAAATGGGGTGTGTGTATGGGGTGGAATTGGTGAGGGTATGTGTTTTAGCATAATCAAGTCTAAGATAAGTTAACAGAAAGAATGGAAATCTCTTATGCAATCCTGGTCAAGTTTTTCTGGCAGGTTATCTAATCCTCACAGTGTGATCTCTTGTTTCATTTTTGTTTTTCTTTGGAGGAAAGACTAGGTAACAGCTAAGAATAGGGAATTTTCAAATTCTTTTTTTCTCCACCCACTGGGTCCCAAGAAGCATTCTTCCCTTTAGCAAGTAACAGACATTTAAATATGCAATTTATAAGAGATAAGACAGATATTGGTAGGTGACAATTTCCAAGGAAAGGAAGTTGTGACTTTACAAACACATAGGGTTGTGGTGAAAGAAGATATGGGAGAGTTGGGAATATTGACAGTCACGAAATTCTTATTCAAGAGATGAACTTTGGGAAAAAAATAGGTGGTAAAATTAGGAAATGAAGCTGTATTCATGTGAGAATCTCCAGAGGCTAAGGACTGTCTAGTCAACACCCAAAATATCTCTGTGGTGAGGCTTTATTTCTTTAGGGTAAAAAGATATTGATTAGTTTGCAGTAAATTTCTGAAAAAATAAAGTAAGGACTCAGGCAAATGTAAAACAAAAGCGCATTAAAGATTTCAACTAATTTATTTTCTTTCCCCTCCTTTTTAAAAAATGGAGACAGGGTCCTGCTCTGTCACCCAGGCTGGAGTGCAGTTGCAAGATCTTGACTTACTGTAGCCTCGACTTACTAGGATCAAGCAATCCTCCTGCCTCAGCCTCCTGAGTAGCTGGGAGTATAGGCATGTGCCACCATGGCCAGCTAATTTTTGTACTTTTGTAGCGACAGAGTTTTGCCATGTTGCCCAAGCTGGTTTTGAACTCCTGGGCTCAAGCGATCTGCTCATCTTGGCTTCCCAAAGTATTGGGATTACAGACGTGAGCCACTACACCCAGCCTCAACTAATTTCTAAACAGGAGAAGCAGTAAGATAAAGTTCAAAAGAAAATTTGTGGAACTGAGATATATATGTGTGTATATACACACATATATATGTATGTATGTATAGTCAGTTGGCAATACTGAAATGAATTTGCTAATAGAAACCAAATTGCTTAATATTGTATCGGACAATAAATTGTAATGTTTGCATTATTGTTTCAACCAGGGGGAATTCAATTTTATCTTTACTGAATAAATTTAATTTACACAGTTATGAATAGGAACAATTTATATTGCCATAAAGAGGAATCATTTGTAACTTCATTTCTACAATTTAGTCTCCAAACCTACAAAACATACAATAGCCTTGTCAACAACAAAAAAGCAATCTAAATTGTATTCTCCTAGAGAATCAAATTATCCTTGAGGAGTCCACTAGACAACAACCAGCATGCCACAGAAAGGTCATTTAAATGGTATCTTTTGCCCATTTTCAAGCTTAAACTTTTTCTTAGAGGTGAAACTTTTTTTCAGTCCTCTTTGCATAGTTTGACATCAATTTTAAAAATTGCTTAGATCTTCATGAAGGTTTAGCATCTATATTTACTTTAAAATTGTAGCCAAGAATTTAGAATAGATAACCTCTATTCTCCATTCACCAGCAGGCATCTGAAAGAAAGTTTATTTCCTTGACTTTCCCCTCCCAAGAGAATAATTATCAACACATCCTACAGAAAAAAATATCTTTTTGCATGGTATTATGATACAAGGAACAGATTTTGTAGATAATCTAATAGCGCATTCCTGGAATGCCCTCCTCATTACCTGAATGAACTCTGTCTAGTCTATTCAAGATGTTCTTTATATTTAAGTATCCTGGCTGCTTTTTAAATGAGACGCATGGGTCTTGTGAATTAATCCTTTCCGTCTTCCCACCTGAAAACACACTGTGGTTTTGGTAGAGTACAGTAAGTATGCTGCACTCTGGTTGCGGAAATTTGGTTTTGGTATTGTATAATACAGTTTAGTATGAAGTCAGTCCCAAGCTAGAAGCCAACCCTATGGGTAGGCATAGGGGTCCTGAGCAATAACACAGGGGTAAGAAGTACTTCAACAGATATAGCTAGGCCAGATGTGGGGGAACAAGATTGAGTATAGCTACTCACCACAAAGAGTAAGTACATTCAACAGTCTAAACCTTTATGGAAAAAAAGAGGTATAATGAAGTCAGATATAGTTTAGGAAATAATCCGTATTAGGAAGACCAGTTTAACAACTAGACACTACTAGAAAGAGTTCTATTCACAAATCATGCTGATAGCAGGTAGAGATCTGACCATATGTGGATTCAGGGAATAGAACTCAGCTTCTTGGAAAAAAAATAGGCTATAAAGATTTAATTCAAGCACTTGGTACTTATTTTAGGGAGAACACTAAGGAGAATAACAAAGGCTAAACTCATGGAAAGACAATCTTGGTATATGCATAAGCTTTGAGTAGTGTAGATTTTTTGGGGAATTATCACCAGGGAGTGAAGACTATCTGGGCCGGTGGCACAGGGTAAAAGAATTTACCAAGACAGTTGTAGGTAGAGACAGGCAGATTTATTAGACAAAGTAGGAAAATACTTGTGATGAGGCAACAGGCAGGATCAGCAGAAGAGAAGCTGACTGCCAAAAATCAAAGGCTTGCTGGGGATTTTGTAGAATAGTGTTTATGCTGTGTGCTGAAGAGGGCTTTGTGCAGTACTGATAATGCCAAGGTTGCAGTGAGCTAACTTGAAACAGTCTGGTGATAGTTGGATGCAGGAAGATTGTGGGTTATTTGAATAGGAGGGCTGTGTATATTTAAAATATTTGATCCTAGACCACGAAGAAAGGCAGACTTGTAGCTTATCTGCCTTCTCTTTTTGCTTTCCCATGCTCCCACCAGTCTGATTCTCTTTCCCTAATTCAGACTCCAAAGGAATCACGTTTTGTCTCTGACACATTTTATCTATATAGGGTTGGAATAATAAAAATTTGGTGAGTTGAACACAGGGATGGAGAAGGGCCATGTGAGAGCCCTACAAACAAAACTGAATTTCTTAATCCCTAGCTAGAAAAAGTATGCTGGAATTACTAATTTTATTAAGTGTGGGGCTGATATTTGGATTAATTTTTTTTAAACTAGGGTGGGAATGAGTATGGGATGTGAGTAGGAATAGATGCACATTTAGGAAATCGTGAAAGTAATGGCACAAAATACAAATCTGGAACTAGATAACAACTAATTCATTATTCTATTATTTCTTCATCTTGAGCAAAACATAATAGAGTCGATCTTGTTGACTATCCAATCTAATAACCTGGGCTGCCTTCAGCTGGCTGTTGGTATAGAAATGATAGTACGTGTGAGCTTATATTCATTCTGCAGTGTCTGTATATATTCTTTTTTATATCAACTTTTAATAAGTGATCACATGACCTCTTTTTGAAAACCCTGCTCTTTACAGACTTGTTAGCTAAATTGACATATATTTCATTTTTTATAGCTCCCTCACCTCTTCTCCAGGTTTCAATCTTCCAAGTTTTACAATTTAATATATCTTTTCCACCTATTGTTATGATTATTAATTCCATGGCTTTTGAAGTTAATGATCTTACATCTGGGTCTTCTGTTGAGTTAAACCTAATTTTGACTTGCATTTAAGCATTATTTCTACCCTGAGGCCTTTTTAAGCATTATTTCTACCCTGAGGCCTCTTGCTTCCTGAAACTTTATTATCTATTTTCTTTAACCACAGTATGCTGGATGTAGCTTGTACTGATTCTACCAACTCGCTAGAGCTGATTATTAAATATTCAGGAATTTTGTGAGTGGATTGTTAAATTTGCCATGGTAGGAGTATTTATACCAAATTAATTTACAGTTCCTGCAGCTGAAATGTTCATAGACAAGAGAATCAAGGTACAGAAAGGTTTATTAATTTTCCCAAGATCAAAATGCTAATAAGTTCTGGAGATAGAACCAGAACTTGGATCTTTTCTATTCTAACCCATGTCATGGGCATTTTATGATTCTTAGGGAATGTTGAAGCAGAATTTAATAGTCCAATATAATGTTTGTAGCTAAAAATAAGGAATGTATTGGTATGATATGTATTTTAGTAAAAGATGGAAGATAATGATTGTAAGATAAATGCTTTTTCTGAAATAGGGTTCACATTATAAAACTAGCTTAAAGATTGTTTCTGGCTGGGTGCAGTGGCTCAAGCCTGTTATCTCAGCACTTTGGGAGGCCAAGTGGGGTGGATCACTTGAGGTCAAGAGTTGGAGACGAGCATGGTCAACATGGTGAACCTCCTCTTTACTAAAAATACAAAAATTAGCCAGGCATGGTGTCACGTGCCTGTAATTGTAGCTACTCAGGAGGCTGAGGTAGAAATTGCTTGAACCTGGGAGGCAGAGGTTGCAGTGAGCTGAGATCGCACCACTACGTTCTAGCTTGGGCAACAAGGTGAGACTCAGTCTCAAAAAAAAAAAAAAAAAAAAAAAAGGTATTTTCTACACAGTAACACAGTGTATAATTGATTTTTGTATAGTTGGTTCAAGCTTAATTATGGTTACAGAACTTGAAGGGTTAATGTCTCTAAATAAATGCAGTAAAATAATATATTTCCATACATTTCTATATTAAAACAGCAGCAGATAGAGCAGTTACACTAAATGCCAAAAAATGTATGTTATTAAGTCTTAAAAATATACAATGCAAATTGGGGACTTATTTGTTATACAAAAAAGATACTTGCACATGCATGCTTATAGCAGCACAATTTGCAATTGCAA
This sequence comes from Homo sapiens, assembly GCF_000001405.40. Taxonomy (NCBI): domain Eukaryota; kingdom Metazoa; phylum Chordata; class Mammalia; order Primates; family Hominidae; genus Homo; species Homo sapiens. The sequence continues at coordinate 86,758,756 of NC_000005.10, read as the reverse complement.
AAATGTGGAATCAACCCAAATGTCCATCAATCAACAAGTAGATAAAGAAACTGTGGTATACATATACGATAGAATACTACACAGCCATAAAAATGAATGAATGAATGGCATTCACAGCAACCTGGATAAGATTGGAGACTATTATTATAAGTGAAGTAACTCAGGAGTGGAAAACCAAACATCATATGTTTTATGTGGGAGCTAAGCTATGAGAATGCAAAGGCATAAGAATGACACAATGGACTTTGGGGACTCAAGAGGAAAGGGTGGGAAGGGAGTGAGGGATAAAAGACTACAAGTTGAGTGCAGTGTATACTGCTCAGGTGATGGGTGCACCAAACTCTCACAAATCACCACTAAATAACTTACTTAGGTAACCAAACACCACCTGTTCACCAATAACCTATGGAAATAAAGAAAATTTTAAAAGGGGGACTTCTTGCTATTATTAATATCAGTAATAAATTAAACCAATTGATTCCCCACCACTACTAAACCCCACAAACATTCACCCTAAGTTACAATCTGCTCCCCTCCCCGACTTGCTTTCTAGAGCCACATATTTCCCTTCAGGGACTAGCTACTTGTTCTTCTCAGAGAAATGTGTCACCATCTTTCCAGCAGAGCCAGTCTTGGCAGTATCTCTCCTCCCTTAAACAATTTCGATAGGAAACCTTGTTATCTCTTCCGACTATATGACTCACACTCATCAAAAGTCCCAAAAGCTATGATCTCATGTATTAGGTTTCTTTCCCCTGTGGTTTTCTTCCCCGTTAGTGCTTCTGTTAGAACCATCTGTCAACTAACTTCTTGGTCATTAACTCTCACCCCTTAGCATGTAAAGCCAAACCTTATTTATCAGGTTATGAACGGCCCTCATATATTGAGAAGTCTTCCTACTCCCTCAGATTAACTGAATTTGTAATCAAACCTCATTAATTATGATTTGAACTTTTCTCTCTTCCCTGTCTTCTCATTTCACTTACCACTGCTTTAATCTTAGTTCAAGCCCGTATCATTTACATCAACAGTAACAACAGCCTCTTTATTGGCCTCTTAGTATCAAGTTTTTACTTCCTTCACTATATTTTAAAATTATCTTTAGAGTAATGTTTCCAAAATATAAACCATATCACATTCAACCTATGCAGGGTTTTTGTATCCTCAGGATTCAACACTACTCAGGTCAAAATTTGTATGTTTAAAATATTTGATTCAAAGATAATCCATTGTTAAAATATTTTTATTACTAATAATGTTCTTCTGGTTATAAATGCAATAACAAAGTGCAGAAATATATGAAAAATATTAAAATTATTCCAAACACTATAATTTAGATATAACCATTATTAACATAGTATATTATCTGGTTTCAATCTGTAGAGATTTTTCTTGGTTGCAAAGTTTGGTAATGTCATAAAACAGCTAAGCCCACCATGATGATGGTTGGAACGACGTTGTTCTCCAAATAGATGAAGTAAATGCTTCTCACTTTATTTAGAAATAAACTGCATTTAGTTTGATTTTTTTCTCCTATTTTGGCAAGAGTAGCAACTTCTTTAAAATGTTGACTCTGAATTTTTTCATTTATCACTTTATTCATCAAAAGCCATTATGCACCCATCATATATGTAGCACACAATCATTTACACAGTAGGTGAATAGGCTGGGTTCTTGCCCTACAGGACATACAGTCCAACAGGGGGAGCTGTGACAAATACATAAACTATTTTAAAACAAATTAGAATGGTACCAGGTATTTAGAAACAAAGTGATGGAGTGTTTCTGGAGAAATTGCTTTCTCTCTCCTAGGGTCATGGAAACTTTATGTATGAGTAGCGGTTGAGCTGAATTTTGAAATGTGGGTGTACATGTGGAGGAACTGCTAAAACAAAAGACTAAAGAAAGGAAAGCTGGGAGTCTTTGGGAAAAGCTATGGAATTGCACGTGCGGCGAGATTCAGTGAAAGATAAAGCTGTAAGATGGAGCATGCTGAGGCAAAGGAGAACCTTGAATTCAAGGAGTGGGTATTCTCAAGCTACTTGGTATAGTCAGGAATCCCTGAGTGTTTCTGTTCACAAAAATGACAAAATTATAGTTTTGTATTAGGCTTGCTACAGTAGCAGGCCAGCAGGCCATAAGGTGGGTGGGAGAAGGAAGAGCTTACAGTTGAGAACAGTTTTGGAGTGCAAGTTAGAGGAAGCAAGAGCCTGAATTACAGTAGTGGCCATCGAGACTGGAAGACAGGAGAATTTAGGCAACATTAAGGACAAAAAAGTGACTGGACTTGCTGTCTGAATATGATGATTAAAGGTAAAGATGTTAAAATATCACCAGCATGTTAATTCAGGATAACCAGGTAAATGGGATGCCTTGAAAAGTAAAAGGCCGAGGGGGAGGAGAATTTTGATGAAAGATGACTTGGTTTCAGATATAGGAATTTTAAATATTCATTGGCTCAACATGGAGACATTTTTCAGCATCAGTTTCAACTATTACTTTCAGAACTTCTTAAAAATTTTATTAGTTTGGCTCCACTATTCCTCCTTGAAAAGGAAATTTAGACTTATTTATCACTGTCATGCCAATTTCCTTTTCTCACGTTATGCTCTTACCTCTAAGATCTTTATATCCTGTAATCATGCCTTCTTTCTTTACAGGGCAGATGTTTGGTTTGCACAGTCCCTTCCCCTTCATTCTGTCCTGTAATTTTTGTATTGTTTTGACTGCCCTCATTGATCTGCTAACCACGTTTCATCCTGTAACTATCACCTTGCTAATAGTATGCTGTCTGTGTCTACTGGAGAGGAGGATGATCAACTTAGAGAGGCATGTTTGAAATCAAAGTTCAATGAAATATTTTGTGTCATACTCGGTGGGGGTGAGTAGCAGGCATAATGCAGGTTCTTTGAAATTATTTGGTTTGGAAATCAAAACTCAATACTTGGGCAAGCTGCCATTTTCTGTTGTTATTGAGTGGTACAGCAAGGTGAGGTAAAACAAATCAGCTTAGTTGCTTTGGTGTGCTAAATGATCCTGTTCCTTCTATTCGATTAAAGAGGATTCTTAAAGTTAAAATTTCAAACATGTTTTGGGCTGGCACAGTGGCTCACACCTGTAATCTCAGCACTTTGGGAGGATGAGGTAGGCAGATCACTTGAGGCCAGGAGTTTGAGACCAGCTTGACCAACATGGTGAAACCCTGTTTCGAAATGAAGGCAGAAATAAAGATGTTCTTTGAAACCAACGAGAACAAAGACACAACATACCAGAATCTCTGGGACACATTCAAAACAGTGTGTAGAGGGAAATTTATAGCACTAAATGCCCACAAGAGAAAGCAGGAAAGATCCAAAATTGACACCCTAACATCACAATTAAAAGAGCTAGAAAAGCAAGAGCAAACACATTCAAAAGCTAGCAGAAGGCAAGAAATAACTAAAATCAGAGCAGAACTGAAGGAAATAGAGACACAAAAAACCCTTCAAAAAATTAATGAATCCAGGAGCTGGTTTTTTTGAAAGGATCAACAAAATTGATAGAATGCTAGCAAGATTAATAAAGAAAAAGAAAGAGAAGAATCAAATAGACGCAATAAAAAATGATAAAGGGGATATCACCACTTATCCCACAGAAATACAAACTACCATCAGAGAATACTACAAACACCTCTAGGCAAATAAACTAGAAAATCTAGAAGAAATGGATAAATTCCTCGACACATACACTCTCCCAAGACTAAACCAGGAAGAAGTTGAATCCCTGAATAGACCAATAACAGGAGCTGAAATTGTGGCAATAATCAATACCTTACCAACCAAAAAGAGTCCAGGTCCAGATGGATACACAGCTGAATTCTACCAGAGGTACAAGGAGGAAGTGGTACCATTCCTTCTGAAACTATTCCAATCAATAGAAAAAGAAGGAATCCTCCCTAACTCATTTTATGAGGCCAGCATCATCCTGATACCAAAGCCGGGCAGAGACACAACCAAAAAAGAGAATTTTAGACCAATATCCTTGATGAATATTGATGCAAAAATACTCAATAAAATACTGGCAAACCCAATCCCCCAGCACATCAAAAAGCTTATCCACAATGATCAAGTGGGCTTCATCCCTGGGATGCAAGGCTGGTTCAATATATGCAAATCAATAAATGTAATCCAGCATATAAACAGAACCAAAGACAAAAACCACATGATTATCTCAACAGATGCAGAAAAGGCCTTTGACAAAATTCAACAACGCTTCATGCTAAAAACTCTCAATAAATTAGGTATTGATGGGACGTATCTCAAAATAATAAGAGCTATCTATGACAAACCCACAGCCAATATCATACCGAATGGGCAAAAACTGGAAGCATTCCCTTTGAAAACTGGCACAAGACAGGGATGCCTTCTCTCACCACTCCTATTCAACATAGTGTTGGAAGTTCTGGCCAGGGCAATTAGGCAGGAGAAGGAAATCAAGGGTATTCAATTAGGAAAAGAGGAAGTCAAATTGTCCCTGTTTGCAGATGACATGATTGTATATCTAGAAAACCCCATTGTCTCAGCCCAAAATCTCCTTAAGCTGATAAGCAACTTCAGCAGTCTCAGGATACGAAATCAATGTACAAAAATCACAACCATTCTTATACACCAATAACAGACCAACAGAGAGCCAAATCATGAGTGAACTCCCATTCACAATTGCTTCAAAGAGAATAAAATACCTAGGAATCCAACTTACAAGGGACGTGAAGAACCTCTTCAAGGAGAACTACAAACCACTGCTCAATGAAATAAAAGAGGCTACAAACAAATGGAAGAACATTCCATGCTCATGGGTAGGAAGAATCAATATCGTGAAAATGGCCATACTGCCCAAGGTAATTTATAGATTCAATGCCATCCCCATCAAGCTACCAATGACTTTCTTCACAGAATTGGAAAAAAACTTCTTTAAAGTTCATATGGAACCAAAAAAGAGCCCGCATCACCAAGTCAATCCTAAGCCAAAAGAACAAAGCTGGAGGCATCACGCTACCTGACTTCAAACTATACTACAAGGCTACAGTAACCAAAACAGCATAGTACTGGTACCAAAACAGAGATATAGATCAATGGAACAGTACAGAGCCCTCAGAAATAATGCCGCATATCTACAACTATCTGATCTTTGACAAACCTGAGAAAAACAAGCAATGGGGAAAGGATTTCCTATTTAATAAATGGTGCTGGGAAAACTGGCTAGCCATATGTAGAAAGCTGAAACTGGATCTCTTCCTTACACCTTATAAAAAAATTAATTCACGATGGATTAAAGACTTAAACATTAGACCTAAAACCATAAAAACCCTAGAAGAAAGCATAGGCATTACCATTCAGGACATAGGCATGGGCAAGGACTTCATGTCTAAAACACCAAAAGTAATGGCAACAAAAGCCAAAATTGACAAATGGGATCTAATTAAACTAAAGAGCTTCTGCACAGCAAAGGAAACTACCATCAGAGTGAACAGGCAACCTACAGAATGGGAGAACATTTTTGCAATCTACTCATCTGACAAAGGGCTAATATCCAGAATCTACAAAGAACTCAAACAAATTTACAAAAAAAAAAAAAAAAAAGAACCCCATCAAAAAGCGGGTGAAGGATATGAACAGACACTTCTCAAAAGAAGACATTTATGCAGCCAACAGGCACATGAAAAAATGCTCATCATCACTGGCCATCAGAGAAATGCAAATCAAAACCACAATGAGATACCATCTCACACCAGTTAGAATGGCAATCATTAAAAAGTCAGGAAACAACAGGTGCTGGAGAGGATGTGGAGAAATAGGAACACTTTTACACTGTTGGTGGGACTGTAAACTAGTTCAACCATTGTGGAAGTCAGTATGGTGATTCCTCAGGGATCTAGAACTAGAAATACCATTTGACCCAGCCATCCCATTACTGTGTATATACCCAAAGGACTATAAATCATGCTGTTATAAAGACACATGCACACGTATGTTTATTGTGGCACTATTCACAATAGCAAAGACTCGGAACCAACCCAAATGTCCAACAATGATAGACTGGATTAAGAAAATGTGGCACATATACACCATGGAATACTATGCAGCCATAGAAAGTGATGAGTTCATGTCCTTTGTAGGGACATGGATGAAACTGGAAAACATCATTCTCAGTAAACTATCGCAAGGATAAAAAACCAACCACCACATGTTCTCACTCATAGATGGGAATTGAACAATGAGAACACATGGACACAGGAAGGGGAATATCACACTCTGGCGACTGTTGTGGGGTAGGGGGAGGTGGGAGGGATAGCATTAGGAGATATACCTAATGCTAAATGACAAGTTAATGGGTGCAGGACACCAGCATGGCACATGTATACATATGTAACTAACCTGCACATTGTGCACATGTACCCTAAAACTTAAAGTATAATAATAATAAAAATAAAAAATAAAAAAAGAAAATATTAAATAATATTTTAAAACTTAAAAAAAAAAAAAGAAAATTAGCCAAGTGTGGTGGCCCATGCCCGTAGTCCCAGCTACTCGGGAGGCTGAGGTGGGAGGATCGCTTGAACCCAGAAGGCGGGGATTGCAGTGAGCCGAGACTGCATCACTGTACTCCAGCCTGGGCGAGAGAGTGAGACTGTCTCAAGAAAAAAATAAATAAATAAATTCTGTTTTGCAATCCAATGATAGTTCCAAACTGTAAAAAAAAAAAATCTGTTTTGCAATCCAATGATAGTCCCAAACTAATTATTATTATCATTGCCCTAGTCTTCTAGCAGTATCTTGGTATTATGGAGGCAAACTACAAAATAGTTTTTCAGGATAGTGTCATGATTTCTTTGTTGTGATTCTGGTGCTGATTTCAATATTGCTCTCTATTCTTTCTCATAACTATATACTAGAGGAAAGAGTGGGGATAGAGTCTCTCTTCTTTCTGATAACTATATAGTAGAGGAAAGAGTGGGGATAGAGTCAACCTGGTGTTTAGTAATTACACAGTGATACACAATTTACCTGGTATTGATAGCATGCCAAGTTTGCTTCCAATCTGTTCTTAATATTAACATCATCAACAATAACAGAGTTTTTGTTTCAAAGAATGATAGAAACTAGCACTGATACACCTGGGATTTGTTCCCTCTTCAGAGCTTAAATATTGGAAAACACAAGTGACTGAGCAGTATGGTCACTTTACAGCTTTTCATATTTGTGTTATATAATTTTGAACCCTACATGTCCTCTTTCTAAAGTGCTTCATTCCCCGAACCGGTGATTTCTTAACAATGTGGTCTTGATTACATTTTCCCTCTTTACAACAGTAACGCTGAACTATCTGTCTCTTTACTGTGTCATGCCCCTCATTTATATGCCGGTTTTGGTGCTTGGCAGGTGTCTGCAACCTTACTGAGACAAGGCTATTTGAAACACCACAAGGGCAGGACTTGTGCTGTTCAGAACTCTACATCAGGTGAAAGGTCAAGCAGACTTCATCAGAGTTGCAGAAGTTTCTTGCAAGTAATTCTAAAACACTTGGAATGTACAATAAGGTGAACTTTTGCTGGTTTCTGGTATCAGGAAAGTACCTTTTTATCATAAGAAAAAGGCAAAGAAAAAAGGAATAAAGAAACCAGAAAAGCGTTTCCTTATTATTGGAAAAAAATAAGAAACTTTAACACGAAACTGCTTTATGTCATTCATATTCAAATAAAAAATAATAATTCATATCCTGCTCTAACTTTTGGCTGTTGACTTTTTGCTGTTAATCTTAACTCATAGGTCCCAACTGTCAAATTCATTCCAGGATTTTTTGACTAGCTTGCTATTTTTGCATTGACTTGATACAGGTATTCATAAAACTAAACTATTTTCCCACAGCTGGAATATTAAAGGAAGGCTGTGGACTATAAACATAAACCCACATACTTCTAGGTGACAAACCCTTTTCTAGACTAAAATGTTAAAAACATGTTTTTCTTTTTAATAAAATTATTGAAACTGAAACACAAATTATATCTGTTGGCACTGTCAGTGCTATATTGTTTATATTTGCTAAGGTTTTTTAACTCATAAAACATTTATTTTCAGGCCAGGCATGGTGGCTCACGCCTGTAATCCCAGCACTTTGGGAGGCCAAGGCGGGCGGATCACGAGGTCAGGAGATGGAGACCATCCTGGCTAACACGGTGAAATCCTGTCTCTACTAAAAATACAAAGAAACAAAAACAAAAACAAAGAAAAAAATTAGCCTGGCATGGTGGCGGGCACCTGTAGTCCCAGCTACTCGGGAGGCTGGGGCAGAATGGTGTGTACCCAGGAGGTGGAGCTTGCAGTGAGCCAAGATAGCCCCACTGCATTCTAGCCTGGGCAACAGAGCAAGACTGTCTCAAAAAAAAAAAAAATTATTTTCAGAGGACAGGAAAAGAAATGATATAGAAAATTTATAAACTTAAGACAGTAATTCTTTTGAATTCATAAACTGCATTAATCAATTTACAAATTACTGACCCAATATTTAATTCCATTGTCACCATGATTGACAATTCCCATCAGATGTGGAAAAGTATTGTGCTGTTCTCTAAAGGGGAATGTGAAAACATGAGGGGGCAGAAATGCTATAGCTTCCACAGTCTACCAGATAATACCATGAAACTTGATTCTGTTCCTCTCTTTGCATTAGCTGCCAGAAACCCTGGAGCCAAATACTTGGTAAGTGTGCAAATATTCAAGATGCATAGATTGTGTACTAACCTTCATGAGTCATTCCTTTTTTCCTTATCTTTCTCTTAAATGTATTTTAAATGTATTACTTATATTGCTCATAGTTGTTTTTAAACCTTTATTTGGAGTTAGATGTAGGATACAATTTTAAAAGTTATACATTTACTTAAAAAATCAATTTTCCATATATGCATTTCAACAATTTTTAAACAATGTCCCACAAAAATTAGAATCAAATCAGTATGATACAAGTTTATTAATATGTTTCAATAGCTCTGTAAAGTGACAATAGAAGATTTTAGACTTTGAGGTTCTAAGCATCAGGATTTAATTCCAGGTTGGGCCAAAGACCCAGTAGAATTTTCCAACCTTTTAAACACTGAGGATAATGTTTTCACAGCCAAAGTCCAAATCAGCTAAGCTGAAGGAACTACAGTGAGAATACTTTATTGAATATTTCAGAACCTGAGGCAATTTATATTTGGTATTGTTGGATTTCTCATAACATCTTTTATTCTTCAGCTCTTTAGGGACTACCCAGTCAATTCAGTAACATTTGCTGAGCATCCTTAAATTGTATAGCTTTATACTTGAGTCTTGATGTGTGTCTGGTAATTTCTGTCACCACTTGTTTAAAATTGCTTGGAGTGTTGGCCTCAGATATTTCAACTCAAAGTCATAGATTTCTCTAGAAATATTAGACAGTCTATATTACTAAATATTACAAAAGCTGTATTTTTCCCTGAGAAGTTGGCGGAGGGCACATCTTCCCATATTATTCCCTTTGAACATACTATTTGTCATAGATTGTCACAGTTCTTTGCAGCTTCTCCTACCTGGAGATGGAGTGTATTTCTTGACCTTCTTGAATTTGGACTTGTCTTGCAACTTGCTCTGGCCAAGAGAATGCAATGGAAACCAGATTACATAGGACTGAATCTGATATTTTGGAAACTTTTCACATTTATGCTGACTCTCTTGGATGCCTGTAACCACCCTGTGAGCAAGCCTCCTCCTGCTAAAGGATAAAAGACACAGAGAGCATATCTCAGCTGGAATGCCTACAGTCAGCCCCTAGGTGATTGTCAGCTATCTGCAGACCAAGAATGAACACAGCTAAAATAAGCCTAACCAAGCCCAGATCAGCAGGAATGTTCAGCTGACTCAGAGACTCATAAGCAATAATAGATGATCGCTGTTTTAAGTCATTATGTTTGGGGGTGGCTTGTATATGGCAATAGGTGACTGATTACGTTGCTTTCAGGTCCTCTGAAAGTGGTCTGTTTTTAGCTTAACTCTTCTCTCTTCTCCATAATGATAATTGTGAGTTTGAGCTGTCATAAACTTGAAGGTAGTTATGTGAAAGGGAGGCCTGTAGGCCTAATTAAGATGCTATCAAGTATAAACACTGAATCTTGCTATTCTCACGTGGCTGAAAACTCAAGGTAGTAGACTTTCTGGTTTTTCAAAACACGTTGCCTAAAAACAGTCTTATGACCAGCCAGCAATCAATATATAAATATCAGGAAGAAGTCATTTTATCTTGTTGTTGTCCTATTATTTAATAAAACTTACCTTCAAGAAGTTTGTTCTTATGTTATTACTATAAAAGTACTGTCTATTTCCCTGACACCTGTTTGTGAACCAGGCTTTCCTATTTGTTCATTTTTTTTTTTCAGCATACACATTTTTCTCAACAGGCTATTTTGCTGAAATGTTTTCAGAAACTTCTATTAAAAATAACTGATGTCTTATACTTAATAGATTTTCAGTAACTTCGTTAAATGAATGTCAAGCACAATGCTAATGCTGATATTTGGAAATGATGTTGAAGTTTCAATAAGGACATCTAACGTTATGGATGGTAATTCAGTCTTACTGTAAATTACTACCTGACTCTGAAACTTAGTAAGAGTAAATGTAGCTCTGTAAGAGGAATAATAAAGATATAATTGTCAAAAAAAGTTTGTTCTTGTGTCTTGGCTCAAATTCCCTTTTTATATTTTAAACTCATATTCTGAAGTCTTTTTCCAGAAGTGAAACTTGTTGGCTTCAAGTACCCTCAGGGTCCATCTCTTGCTCTGCAATACAATCAGCAGTACCAAGGGCATGGTCAGTGACTTTCCCTGCATATTAGGCTTCTATTTTGTGCTTGTTTTTTGTAATGCTCTGAGGAGTCTAAAATTTTTAATACTTGTGGCACCTATTCTATCTTTTTGGTAAAATATACCAAAGAATATCAGAGACAACATAGCTCATGAGTATAGGAAAGTATCTTTAAGTCCATCATTAAAATAAACCTAAGGAGAACACTCTGGTATCAAACCATTTCCTTAGATTTCCCATTTCCTTTGGAAAGCCACTAGAAATTTGCCTTCCTGCTTCACAGGAGAGAGAAAAGCAGCTTGTTCCCAGCAAACTAATAAATACAACCTACCTGGAGGTTCATTTCAATATTCGTTAAACCTCTCTTTAGTCTCCTTCATCCACAATTGGTCTATCCATGTGCTATTCTCAGTTCAGTACCTAAACTTGTTTACTCCATCTACAACCACTCTCCAGAAGAAGAGCTCTTTTTGCCTATGTTATTACCTCTTTTATTGCCTCAAGACTTTTATTTCTAATTTCTAACCAGCTTGTCAATTTATTCATACACATTATATTAATATGTGATAACTTTTACGTTATCTCCTTTTCAGAGAGATACCATGTTTGTAGTTGTTTCAGATTTTCAACCCCTAAACTTGAAGAGGTGGCTAATCGATGAGAAGTTTTGGCTCTATGTATTTGTCCAGGGAGCCTGCTAATATGATATCCATTAAGTGCCATCTCTATTTTTACACAAAACCGTTTTTTAAGAAAGACCTCCCTTTTTCTCTTACTATATTCCAACCATATCAGTGTCTCATTCCTAACTGAAAGCAGCCAAGTCCCCTACATACTCATTATGTACGCCTTCTATAGATCCTGTTAGTAGGCAAGAAAAAGGGGGCATGTGTGTGCATGCACTCCCAGCCGCCGGGATGAGCTGTCCTTTCCATTCCACTTGGCTCCTCACCATAACAAGTCTTGGATATTTTGTGTCATAGTACTTTGAAATGTCCAAGAGAGAAATAATCCTTTTTTGCTATTGTTTGAACCATTCAGACTCAACAAAGACATTTTGTAAATGATGACATCCCTTTAGAACATGATTCTAGAATGTAGGCATCTGCAATTTTTTGGTTGCTATGGTAATTTGGGTAGGGGTACTAGTTGAAAAGTGGACATAGCTTTCGTCCAAATATGAGTCTTGGATTTCCTGGGCACATGGTCCTGCCAGTGGCACTACAGTCAACTAAACAGACATATTCAAAAAGTGAAGAACAAATGGAATTCCAGATTAATAATGATGAGCCCAAGGCAAGAGTAGGAAACACAGAATGGCCTTGTATGCACATGATGAATTGTTATCCTTGGTCCTAGTGACTTTGAAAAATTAATAAAGAATGCTAAAATGCTTAATTCCTAGTAACCCATCAAAAGAAAGGCTACTTTCCAAGAAAATTACTCTCTGCATGATATTATATACGCACAATTAATTTCAGCATAAAATTTTGAAATGCTTATGCCAAGGCCAATTCCAACTGAGGTGATTTTCTTAGATTAAGTTGCAATGAATGTCACATTTCAAAGAAAATTACATTGTGATATAAAATAAAAAAGTCCTATTGCAAAGGCAGATCACAGCTCCTTCTATAATAAAAAGGAATAAAAAAGAATTCTGATTAGTAAGAATGAGTAAAATTTCCCCTGTATTAAAATGTAAGATACATGAGGTTAATTTTTACCAATAAGGTTCTAAAATTGCTGATAGAAATCTCCTCATTTATACATGTAAACTGGACTACATGTTGTGTGAGGGAAAAATGAAGGATTCAGCAAGGAACAATGCACATTAAATTTATGGTTGCAATTTTAGAGTTTGAATGGAAGTTGTTTGAACATTGGTCTTGGAGCTGCTCTCCAGTGGTTTCAAACATGGAAAAAAATAACCAGAAAGGGGCCTGAAGGTGAATTAAAATATTGACATTCATTTTGTGTGTACCTGACACTGGGCCTGGACAACTCATCAAAGAATTGTAACTGTCTATGTTGGACTTCCCCCAATTGTGTGGTGGACTTACTGAAGTATAATTACCTGGGTTGCTTATTGAAAATGCAGACTCCAGACTTTACCTTGAATACTCTGGATCAAAATCTCTAGTGGGTGCAGCTTGAGAAAATGCATCTTTAACAAGCTGTCAGGGTGATTCTGATGCACGTTCAATTTGAATACCACTCCCTTGTGGAACATTAGTAGATACTCTGTTGCATGCAGTTTTATAAAATACGGTTTCTTAGATTTAATAAATACCACATTGATAAGAGTAGTGAGAAATAGGAATTATGGCCATTATTCAGGTGCAAATTGCTCTGGGTATTAGAATATGGCCAAAGTATTATATATACTTAATATATAAAGTCTGTCTCAATCATTCTCTTTCTTCAACCTTAACTTGATCCAGGCTTGACAACCAGACTTCTCTAATTAGCACCACCAGCAGAATCCAAGAATCTCTAATTTGTAAAACTTGTCATTGCCATATTTTTTTTGCCTTTTTTGTATTCAGCCAGTTTAAAGTTCAAATTCATTTCATACTAGATGTCAACATTTTATGAGCATTTATTCATGCATATTTGCTTATCTGCCTCCCTGGAAAGATAGAATAGGCCGGGTGGCTGGTGGTATCTCATGAAATTTGATGACTGGGAGATAATATATACTTTTTAAATGTCATGCATGTGCATATTGCCCATTCTATACATTGATCAAATTGATTTCAAAATGTAATAAAAATTAGCTCTATATTCTATATCCTACCTAATATTAAACTCCTTAATGACTTAGACCTCTGAATTTTCTTTTCTAACCCCAGTAAGTCTGTATAGAAAATCAAAGTTCCATAAATGTTGTTGAACAGGAGTTTTGAAACAGACAAAAGTAATTTCAAAATGCAGGCTTGTATTTTTAAAAACATGTATTATTTTGAAACTTAAGTATATTTCCTTTGAAGTGCTGCATTGCCTTTTGCAAATGATATTATTAGACTGGACATCTTTCAGTACCAATAACATAATTTACCCTGACACTCTTTCAAGGAGATAACAACTCTGAAAGATGGATTGCTGAAGATATTTGAAAACCTCATCCTAATTAATAAATACTCTAAATGGCTGCAACATCTTGGGCTAGGTTTGAGACACAAACAACTCTATATTAGCTCTGAAGTTTCAGAGAGTTTACATTTTGCTTCTGCAGTTAAAATGGTACCACCAGGGAAAAAATCCACACAAATGAATGTTTGCAAAGCCCCTTCTTATGTCAACTCAATACTATGCAGCATCCTTATTCAACTGGTTAAGCCATTAAGATGACAAGATTTTTTTTTTAAGTAAGTATATAAAAAGCTGCACAAATCTCACTGATGCTAGAAAAAGAGTTGTTAGTTTTTGGGCTTAGTCATTGTAAATAATAAATCCATAGGAACATTAAATGAAAAAAAAAGTCCCAATTTCCGACAAACATCAAGCTATAGATGCACAGGCTAAAAATGTTTAAAATACCAAATAGAATCAGCACAGGTAATGATGTCCTGCATTACATTTCTGATTATTTCAGCTCATGCTGATCTTTTCCTTCTCTGAAATTTTATAGTATTTATCTAAATGATATAATTTAGCATCTAAACATTTAAATATTTTATATGAACATATAAATATATATCTTTAAAATATAAATATAAACAAATATATTGGCACATTTATTGTTAGTATACTGTAGAGAAGGAAACATCAAAATATACTGCTTAATAGAGAGTGCCATTAAACGTATGACAATTGCCTTCCTATGTCAACATTACCAATAAAGACTTTTAAGCCAATAGAATATCAACCCAGCAATTTCTTTCCATCCCCATTTCCTCCTACCCAGTTATTTCTTGCTGAGAATTTTCACCAGTTCTTTAATATTTGTTCATATTTAGGAGACTGGTTGCCTTGGCATTGCTTTTTTAAAATTTGCCTTTCTTGGGACAGATCAAGTTTTTAGAAAGAAAACTACATTTTAATATTAACTATATTTTAACATTAAATATATTTTAACATTAAATATTTCAGGTCACCATGTTTTTCAAGCAATAAAAATAGCATTGAACTGTTACTTTTATGCAAATTTCATCAATGATTTAGGGGCAATGTGAAGAATTTTTAATTTAAATAAAGAGAAATTTGTTGACATTTCAATCCTTAAATGCAAATTTACTGTTTAGGCTGACCAATCCTTATTATATTTCAGGAACACTCTTCATTATTTCATGAAATTAAAATGTGCACAGTCTTTCTTAAGTAGGTTATCAGATTTTAACAATGGAGAAATGGAGGCATGCAGGGTTGAGATGTGTTACAGCAAATAACTCAGCAACTTTGGGGGTTGTTTTCAAAATAATGGAGGGTAGTGAGGAAATCACTAAAAACATTGCTGTGTAGATCCTATATGCTAAGGGGTAGGGCTCAGAGAGCTTCATTTTCAGCAGCAGTTCCTAGTAATTCTGTTTTAACCTCTAAGAACACACTTTAAAAAATGATGCTATGGAGAAACCAAGGATACTTTAAATCTATTCTATAGAGAATACTCTGCATAAACACAGTTGAAAAACTTTAAAACAATTCTAAATTTTCTCTTTTGTTTCAATCAGTTGGCTAAGGTTTTGGTGATAAAACTGGAAATAACACAGATAATGTTTCCCTAATCATATAATGTCTTTTTTTTCTGATGAATTTTCCACACTGGATAAATACAAATTTTAAACTGGAATGTTTCTGCACACCAAATCATGTTGTTGCAGTCTTACTTCAGGAACACTCCTTTATCTACAGACAGAAGCAAAATGCAAAAATTGGGCAAATGGAAATGAAGATGGCTAAAATTTTTTAAATGCTTACAACAATCTATGTGCTTTACATGTATTAACTCTCAACCATCCTCTAAGTTGGTTGTTTCTGCCATCCTTCTACAGATGGAAAGAAACCAAAACATAATTAAGAAAGTATCTTGCTCTTGTAGGAAATGATGGTGCTAGGCTTGGAATACAGAGTTAGCCCATGTCGTTCAGACACTCGATCATTATGCTTTTATATGAACAGTAAACTGTGTGTATGTTTGTTCATTTTTAATTGGGGGAAATATGACAATTGGAAATGTTATCTCTGTGGTACCTGGGAAGGAGGACTCATTGAATCAGGTTTCCTAAAAGCAGAACACTACACATTTTGTGGCATGAAATGACACGAATTTATAATCTCATAGTTCCGGAGGTCAAAAGTCTGAAACAGGTCTCACTAGGCTAAAATCCAGGTGTTGGAGTGGGTTGTGTACCTTTCTTGAGTCACTAGGGGAGACTCCTTTTCTAGCTTCTAGAAGCTGCCTGCATTATTTGGCTCCTTGTCTCTGTATTAGGCCCTTTTTATGTTGCTATAAAGAAACACTTGAGGCAGCCGGGTGCAGTGGCTCACCCCTGTAATCCCAGCACTTTGGGAGGTTGAGGCAGGTGAATCATCTGAGGTCAGGAGTTCAAGACCAGCCTGGCCAACATGATAAAACCCCATCTCTACTAAAAATACAAAAATTAGCTGAGTGTGGTGGCGGTCACCTGTAATTCCAGCTACTCGGTAGGCTGCGGCAGGAGAATTGCTTGAACTCATGAGATGGAGGTTGCAGTGAGCCAAGATTGCACCATTGCACCTCCAGCCTGGGCAACAAGAGTGAAACTTCATTTAAAAAAAAAATAACTGAGGCTGGGTAATTTATAAAGAAAAAGATTTAATTGGCTCATGGTTCTGCAGACAAAGCAAGAAGCACTGAGCCAGCATGTACTTCTGTGAGTACCTCAGGAAGCCTACAATCATGGCAGAAGGCAAAGGGGGAGCAGGCACAACACCTGGTGAGAGCAAGATAGAGAATGGGGAGGTGCCACACAGTTTTAAACAACCAGATCTCACATGAACTCACTTATCACCAAGGGGATAATGCTAAGCCATTCACGAGGAATCCACCCCAATGATCCCAACACCTCCCTCCAGGCTCTACTACTTCCAACACTGGGGTTACATTTAAGCATGAGATTTTGAGGGGACAAATATCCAAACCATATCAGTCTCCTTCCACTATCTTTAAAGACAGAAAGGTTGCACTTCTCTGGACATTCTCCTATAGTTACATCTCTCTCTGAACTCTTCTCTCTTCTACCTTTAGGGACCCCTGTGATTACATTGGGTCTACTTTGATAATCCAGTATAATTTCCCTATTTTATGGTCAGCTGATTCACTATCTAACTTCCATCTGCAACTCTTCTCCTTTACCCAGGTAACCTAACATATTCACAGGTTCTGGGGTTTAGGTGTGATACTACTGGGAGCCATCATTCTGTGAACCACAGAGATTCTTTTTCAAGTGATTGATGAGAGTACTCTCAGAAGAACAGGAACCAGGGAAGCAAAATAGGTCTGAAAAATGGAGCTTCACTAAGATGTGATCTCAGCTGGAGACTAGCTTCAGCCTGATCCCAAGTGGAAGCCCTGGAGTACAAAGTGCACCCTAAGTTAGCCCATCCTGAGGCAAAGGGCCTGGCAGAGGTCTGGGGTGGTTGCAGCCTACAAGCTGAGGTGGCTGCCATTTGGCTAAAGGCAATCTTCAGAAGTGCAGCTGTGAGGCTTTTGCAGGCAACACTCACAGCAGCTGGGTAATGAGTGCCACTTCTGGTAAAGAGGATTTGGACAGAGAAGCAACAGCATCCACTACAAACCATACTATGCAGTTAGTTGTGTCCTCTCCCAAAAGATACATTGGAATCTTTGGTCTCAGTACCTAAGAATGTGACCCTATTTGGAAATAGGGTTTTTACAGAGGTAATCAAGTTAAAATGAGGTCATTAGAGTAAGCCCTAATCCAATATGACTGGTGTCCCTGTGAAAAGGGGATATGTGGACATAGAGACAGACATGCACTGAGACTAGATGACATGAAGGCACACAGGGAAAATTCCATGTAAAGACAGAGAACCACAATAATGCATTTATAAGCCAAAGAACACCAGAGACTACCAGAAGCTAGGAAAGAAAGAAGAGAGAGTTCCTTCCATAGTGCCTTCATAGAGAGCACAGCCCTATGGACACCTTGATTTCAGACTTCTAGCCTCCAGAACTATGAAACAATAAATCCCTGTTAAGTCACACAGTTTGTGGTATTTTGTTATAGCAGTCCTTGGAAACCAGTACAGACCCTAGGTCACAACGCCTAAAAGAGAGCAACTTCATAATCAGAAGTCAGCCTCCCGATAATTTCCCCCAAGGGTTCTTTATTACACATTGTCAGTGGGAATATTTGAGATTTCCTTTAGCTAAGAAATCATTAATCTAAATTCTTCAGGATAGATCCTTTTCTGACCCTTGTACCCTACTGGCAAATGTTATGAATTTCACTTCTAGATTCCCATTCTTCCTTGCAAGTGCTTTGACAATAGGTGCATAGCCCTTTAATTCATTACATAATTTTCTTATGTATAAACCAGCAAGTTCTGTGAGGACAGTTCTTTACATAGTCATATCTATTGTATCTAGCACGTGGCCTGATATGATAGAAAGGTTGAGGGAACTATTGAATAGTGTTTTTCCTTCTTAGGAACCCCAAAGAAACATTAACAGTACTTTTGTGTTACTCAAAGATAAAAATAAAACACAGAGAAAAGAAGATCTTGAATTATTAATGTCGTAAGCCAGGATATAATGGATTGGGTCAGCAATAGCATAACATGAGTTTTACCAGCCCTGCCCTTTGACCCAGTAGGCAATCTCAGAAATAATAAGATTATTTCTGAGAAATTATAACTGACAGGCTTATGAAATGGAAGCATGATTAGAAGTAACTTTGGCCCAAACAACCCAGAAACACAATAATAGTTTAACACAGTTGACAGAAAAACTTCAGCCAAATAAACCACCTGGCATTGTTAGAGAAGAGAAATTTCTCCAATGCACTGAAATTATATAATTGTATGGCTCCTAAGAGATATTGAATCCTACCACTCTTGACTCAGTCACTGGGGCATAAACACAGCCTAGGTTTTATGCTGACCTAATACTACTTTAAAATTATAATTGAATTACTTAAATGTCTTCTACCACTGTGCTAAAAGCAGAACCTTGGGAATACTAAAAAATAACTTTAAATGAAAGGACTAGGGTACCATAATTTCTATTCCAATTCAGGCAGCAAATAAAATGCACAGTTGCCAAGGCCAGATTTCTTCCACTGAACTTTGAATAAATTTCATCCCTATAGGAAAAGTGTGTAAGAATCTTAGTGAAGGAAAATTGAAATACAGATTTACCCATCTATCATCTCTCTCTCTCTCTCTCTCTCTCTGTCTGTCTGTCTTTCTCTCTCTTTCTCTCTCAAATTTCTGTAATCCAATAATGTGCTTTCAGGCCTATGACATAAATTTTGTCTTAGTCTTCCAAACTCATTATCACACATAAAACTAGAAAAGATACATCTTAGAATTATCTTAGAGAGCACTCACATATTCAGGGGAAAAATACAAGTAATTTTAAAAGGGAAAAATATCATTATTGAAATGTTGCAGTAACAAAAACGGATTTCACTACATCTGTTCAAATACAGAACTGTAACATTTAGCTAGGGAAGAACGTCAAGACGGCTGACCAGAGGCATTTGGTACTCACCTCCTCCACAAAGACAAATCAAAATAGTGGGTAGATAATCACACTTTGAAAACATCATCTAAGAGAGAACACAAGAATTGAACATAGGAGTGACAGAAAACACCTAAGGAAAGGAATAGAGGGAAGTGAGGCAGCCTGCTCAGCAGGACTTAGCCTGGAATGTAGAAAAACTCATCAATGCAGGGAAAGGGTAAGTTTGAAATCCCCAGCAGTCTGCATCCCCACCAGGGACACCTGCAATCCTAGCCATAGGAGAATCCCCTAGACCCTTGTGAGCACTGAGATTAACATACGCAGCTGCCTAAAGACTGCATGGTGGCATTGCTCCAAAAAGGGAGCTCACACTGGGTCTCATACACTCCTTGAGTACTAAGCAACTACAGCATAGAACTATTTTGAGTGTCAAACTGCCACTAGACTGCATTCTGCACTGGGGCCCAATAGCCTTTGCATCTCCATGTCCCTAGAAAACCATTGACATCCCCTTCCTGAAGCTGCCACTGCTGTTGGCTGCTGCCATCAGAGCCAAAATGTGAGCCATTAACAGCAACCATATTGGCCCCAGCAGTGGAGCTGCCATATATTTTCACATGCCCTGAGCACAGACTTCCCCAACCACAACCTCTGCTGCTACTGCTGAGTGCTCCTTCCAGGGCTGAAGTACAAGCCATGGACAGCAATCCCACACCCCTCAACAGTGGAGTCACTGCACATTTACAAATGCCCTGAGGACAAGCTATTGCCTACAGCCAACACCTGGGGGCAAAATGCACACTTCCCAGCTGCCTGTCTATGGCTACTGCCACTGAAAGCAATTCAGGATATGAGTGAGAAATTTGCCAAGCAGGTATTATAAAACAAGGGTCCCCAACCCCTGGGCCACAGACCAGCCTGTTAGGAACAGGCCACACAGCAGGAGATGAAAGTGGGTGAGCAAGCAAAGCTTCATCTGTATTTACAGCTACTCCCTATCACTCTCATTACTGCCTGGTCTTGGCCTCTTGTCAGATCAGCAGTGGCATTGGATTCTCATAGAAGCACAAACCCTATCGTGAACTGCACATGTGAGGGATTTAGGTTGTACACTCTTTATGAAAATCTAATGCCTGATGATCTGTCACTGTCTTCTGTCACCCTAGATGGGACCATCTAGTTGCAGGAAAACAATCTCAGGCTCCCACTGATTCTATATTATGGCGAATTTTATAATTATTTCATTATATGTTACAATGTAATAATAATAGAAATACAATGCACAATAAATGTAATACACTTGAATCATCCCAAAACTATCCCCCCACAACTGGTCCACAGAAAAACTGTGTTTCACAAAACCAGTTCCTGGTGCCAAAAAGGTTGGGGGCCACTGTCATAAAGAGAACCAAACAGAAATTCTGGAAGTGAAAAATTTATTGAATGAAATATAAAGTATGTTCAAATGCTTCAGCAATCGACTAGATCTAAGAGTAGAAGGAATTTCAAAACTTGAAGTTGAGTATTTTGAAATAACCCAGTCAGACAAAAACAAATGAGAAAGAATAAAAAGGAAATGTACAAAGTCTATGTGACATGTGCAACATGCTAAAGTAACCAAATATTCAAATTATCAGGGTCCCCAGAAGGCCTACAGAACACCAAAGGGATAAAAACCTATTTAATAAAATAATAGCTGTAAGCTTCCCATGTCTAGTAAGAGATTTAGAGATCCAGATACAGGAAGCTCAAGGATTCACAGTGAGTACAATTCAAAAAGGTCTTCTCTACAGCAACTTGGTCAAACTGTCGAAAGTCAAAGACAAACAGAGAATTCTAAAAACAGCAAGAGAAAAGCATCTAGTTACTTACAAGGGAAACTCCATTAGACTAACAGTAAATTTTTTTCAGCAGAAATCATATAGTCCAGTAGAGAAAGGGATGATATCTCCAAAGTGCTGAAAGAAGAAAACAAAACAACAAATCTGCCATCCCAGGATATGATACCCAGCAAAGTTATCTTTTATATATCACAGAGAAATAAAGTGTTTCTCTAGCAAGCAAATGCCAAGGGAATTCACCACTAAACCTGAACTACAAGAAATGCGTAAGAAAGCCCTACACCTGGAAGTAAAAAGACAATATTAGCCATCATGAAAATGCAAGAAAGTATAAAATTCACTGGTAGAGTAAACACACAAGGAAGAGAAAGGATTCAAATGTTACTACTACAAAGAACTTTGTAAGCAAAGTGATAAACAACTGCAGAGACAAAGAAATGAACATATACAAAACAAGATACAAGATATAGAAAACAACCAGAAATCAATTAATAAAGTGACAGGAATAAGTCCTCACATATCAATAATAACCTTGAATGTAAAGATTAATGTAATGTAAAGATTAAACTTTCCACTTACAAGACATAGACTGGCTGAACAAATATATAAAAAGACCCAACTGTATGCTACCTACAAGAAACTCATCTCAGCTATAAACACACATATAGGATGGAAGTAAAAGGATAAATCAAGATATTCCATGCAAATAGAAACCCAAAACTAGCAGGACTAGCTATTCATGTATCAGATAAAACAGACTTTAAATAAAAAACACTAAGAAAAAGACAAGGAAAGTAATTATACAATGATATATGGATCAATTTAGCAGGAGGATGTAACAATTCTAAATATATTTGTATCCAAAAATAACACCCAGATACCTAAAGCAAATAGTATTACATACAAGGAAGAAATAGGCTTTAATACAATAATAGTGGGGGACTTAAAATCCCACTCTCAGCATTAGACACATCTAGACAAAAAAATAAAAAAGAATCATTGGATTTAAATTGCACTTTAGACCAAATGGACCTAATGGACATTTACAAAACATTTCATCCAACAGCCTGTAGAATACACATTCCTCTCATCAACATATGGAATATTCATTAGAATAAACCATATGTTAGGACACAAAACAAGTCTCAATAAATTTTTAAAAGTCAAAATCATATCAAGTATCAGGCCAGGCATAATGGCTCATGCTTGTAATCCCAGAGCTTTGGGAGGCTGAGGTGAGAGGATCACTTGAGGTCAGGAGTTCAAGACCAACCTGGGCAAAATAGTAAGACTATCTCTAAAAAAAAAAAAAAAGAAAAAAAGAAAAAAAAATTTGAAAATTAACTGGGCATAGCCGCACATGCCTGTAGTCCCAGCAACTCAGAAGGCTGAGGCAGGAAAATGGCTCAAACTCAGGAGTCAGAAGCTGTAATGAGCTATGATTGCACCATTGTACTCCAGTCTAGGCAACAGAGCAAGATCCCATCTCCAAAAAAATTTTTTTAACTTTTATTTTAGGTTCAGGGGTACTAGTGCAGGTTTGTTATATAGGTAAACTGCATGTCATGGGGGTTTGGTGTAAAGATTATTTTGACATTTAGGTAATAAGCCTAGTACCCAATAGGTATTTTTTTCTGATCTTCTCCCACCTCCCAGCTTCCACCCTCAAGTAGCACCAATGTCTATTGTTCCCCTCACCGTGTCTGTGTATTCTCATTGTTTAGCTCCCACTTATAAGTGGTATTTGGGTTTCTACTCCTGCATTAGTTTGCTTATGATAATGGCCTCCAGCTCCACCCTGTTGCCGCAAATGATGTGATCTCATCCTTTGTTTATGGCTGTGTATTCCATGGTGTATGTGTACCACATTTTCTCTACCCATTCTATCTTTGATGGGCATTTAGGGTATTCCTTGTCTTTGCTGTTGTGAACAGTCTATGATGAACATATATATGCATATGTTTTTACAGTAGAATGATTTATATTCTTTGGTGTATATACCTGATACTGAAATTTCTGGGCCATATGGTAATTCTGTTTTAAGTTCTTTGAGGAATTGCCACACTGCTTTCCACAAGAGCTGATCTAATTTACACACCCATCAGCACCATATAATCATTTTCTTTTCTCTGCAACCTCACTAGCATCTTTTATTTTTTTTGACTTTTTAAAAGTAGTCATTCTAACTGGCATGAGATGGTATCTCATTGTGGTTTTGATTCGAATTTCTCTAATGAGTAGTGAGGTTGAGCATTTTTTTCTATGCCCATTTGCCACATGTATGTCTTCTTTTGAAAATTTCCTGTTCATGTCCTCTGCTCACTTTTTCATTAAAGTTTCTCACTTTTTCATTTAGTGAGAAACTTTTCATTAAAGTTTCTCACTAAACCCAAACTCTACCAAACATATGACGTTTGGCCTTTCTGTGTAAATTTGTTTAAGTTCCTTATAGATTCTGGATATTAGACCTTTGTCAGATGCATAGTTTGCAACTATTTTCTCCTACTCTGTAGGATGTCTGCTTACCCTGTTGATAGTTTCTTTTGCTGTACCAAAGCTATTACATTTAATGAGGCCCCATTTGTCAGTTTTTGTTTTTGTTGCAATTGCTTTTGGCATTTTAGGTTATTTTCCATCTATTATTTCCATCCATTAACCAACTAGGTTATTTTCCAGGAGTTTTTATAGTTTTAGATTTTACATTTAAGTCTTTAATCTATCTTGAGTTGATTTTTGTATATAGTGTAAGGAAGTGGTTCAGTTGCAATCTTCTGCATATGGCTAGCCAGTTATCCCAGCACCTTTTATTGAATAGGGAGTCCTTTCTCCATTGCTTGTTTTTGTCAGCTTTGTTGATGATGAAATTGTTGCAGGTGTGTGCATTATTTCTGAGCTTTCTATTCTATAAGATTTTAAATAAAAATATTATCAAGTATCATCTCAGACTACAATGGAATAAAACTAGAAATCAATATGAAGACAAACTTTGAAAACTGTATAAACATGAAAATTAAACAACATAGTTCTGAACAATCATTGGATCAATGAAGAAATTAAGATGAAAATTTTAAACAGCTTTTAAACATGAAAATGGAAATACAACATATCAAAACCTGAGGGATACAACAAAAGCAGTGCTAAAAAAGTTTATAATGCTAAATGTGTACATCATAAAGTAGAAAGATTATAAATTGACAACCTAATGTCATACCAAGGACATTAGAAAAGAACAAAGGAAACCCAAAATTAGCAGAAAAAAAGATATAACAAATATCAGAGTAGAAGTAAATGAAAGAGATAAAATTACAAAGGATTAAGAAAAAGTTTTTTAAAAAGAAAAACATTGAGAAACCACTAGCTAGACTAACCAAGGAAAAATGAGAAAAGAACCAAATAAATAAACCACAAATGAAAAAGGAGATATTATAAGTGATACCACAGAAATACAAAAGAAAAAAATCAGCATAGGCTTATGAACAACTATACACTAACACACTTGAAAACCTAGAGGAAGTAAGTAAGTTTCTGGAAACATACAACCTACCAAGGTTGAATCAGAAGGAAACAGAAAATCTGAACAGGCCAATAACAAGTAAAGAGACTGAATCAGTAATGAAAAGCCTCCCAACAAAGAAAAACCCAGGACTGGATGGCTTCACTGTCAATCTCTACCAAACATATGACATGGAGTTAGCATCAATTCTCTTTAAACTATTTTAAAATATTGAAGAAGAAAGATTTCTCCCTAATTCATTCTATGAGGCCAGCAT
Source organism: Homo sapiens (assembly GCF_000001405.40). Classification (NCBI taxonomy): domain Eukaryota; kingdom Metazoa; phylum Chordata; class Mammalia; order Primates; family Hominidae; genus Homo; species Homo sapiens. The sequence continues at coordinate 86,733,603 of NC_000005.10, read as the reverse complement.
TACACTAATACCAAAAACAGGCAAGGATGCAACAAAAAAAGAAAACTGCAGGACAATATCCTTGATGGACATAGACAAAAAAATCCTCAACAAAATACTAGCAAACCACATTCAACAGCACATCAAAAAGATAATTAATACATGACAATCAAATGGGATTTATCCCAAGTTTACAAGGATAGTTCAACATATGCAAACCAATAAACATGATACATCATATTAACAGAATGAAGGACAAAAACAACATGATCATCCCAATAAAGAAAATGCATTTAATAAAATCCAACATTCCTTCATGAAAAAAAAACTGTCAACAAACAAGGTGTAGAAAGAACACAACTCAATATAATAGATGTCACATATGGATAAACCCAAAGCTCACATTCGACTGAGTAAAAGCTGAAAGTGTTTCCTTTAAGAACTAGAATATGAGAAGAATGTCCAGGTTTACCATTCCAATTAAACATAGTACTGGAAGTCTTAGAGCAATCAGGCAAGAAAAAGAAATAAAAGGCATCCAAATTGGAAAAGAGGAAGTCAAACTGTCCATCTTTCCAGATAACATGATCTTATATTTTAAAAAATCTGTAGACTCTACCAAAAACTCTTAGATCTTATAAATACAGTAAAGTTGCAAGATAAAAAATCAACACACAAAAATCAGCAGTGTTTCTATACACCAAAAATGACATAGCCACAAAAGAAATGAAGAAGCAAATTCTTACAACAGCTAAAAAAACCCAAAAAACAAAAAACAAAACAACAACAACAAAAACAGAAATGAATTTAACCTAACAGGTGAAAGATCTCTATAAGGAAAACCAGAAACTACAGTTGAAATAAATTGAAGAGGACTCAAACAGAAAGACAACCCATCACCCCAAGGATCGACTGAATTAATACTTTTAAACGACCACACTATTAAAAGGAATCATTAGATTCAATGCAATCCCCATCAAAATACTAATGTTATTTTTCACTGAAATAGATAAAACAATTCTAAAATTCAGATGGAGCCTAAAAAGAAACAAAAAATAAAGCCCAAATAGCCAAAGCAATCCTGAGCCAAAAGAACAAAGGTGGAGACATCACATTATCTGATTTCAAAATATATTGCAAGGCTATAGTAACCAAAACAGCATGATATTGTTATAAAAACAGACACACCAAGGGAACAAAGTAACAGAACCATAAACAAATCCACATATTTACAACCAAGTGATTTTTCATAAAAGCACCAAGGATATATGTTGGGGAAAATAAGTCTCTTCAATACATAGTACTGAAAAAAATTAGATACCCATATGCAGAGGAATGAAACTAAACCCATACCTCTCATCATATTAAGAAAACCAACTCAAGATAGATTAAAGACTTACACATAAAACTCAGAAAGCAAAAAAATGCTAGGAGAAATAATAGGTGAAATACTTCAGGACAATGGTCTAGGAAAATACTTTATGGCTAAGACCTCAAAACCTTAGGCAACAAGAACAAAAATAGACAAACTCGATTAAAGCCTCTGCATAGCAAAAGAAAAAACAGAGTAAAGGGTTAGCCTGTTTGAATGGGAGAAGATATTGGCAAACTATTCATTAGACAAGGATCTAACATCTAGAATATATTAATACAAGGAACCCGGGGGGTGGTTCCAAGATGGCCGAATAGGAACAGCTCCAGTCTACAGCTCCTAGCATGAGCAATGCAGAAGACGGGTGATTTCTGCATTTCCAAATGAGGTACCAGGTTCATCTCCCTGGGGCTTGTCGGGCAGCGGGTGCAGGACAGTGGGGTCAGCCCACTGAGTGAGAGCCGAAGCAGGGCAAGACATCGCCTCACTCAGGAAGCGCAAGAGGTTGGGGAATTCCCTTTTCTAGCCAAGTAAAGCCGTGACAGACAGCACCTGGAAAATCGGGTCACTCCCACCCTAATACTGAGCTTTTCCAAGGGTCTTAGCAAATGGACACCAGGAGATTATATCCCATGCATGGGTCGGAGGGTCCACGCCAATGGAGCCTCACTCATTGCTAGCACAGCAGTCTGAGATCTAAATGCAAGGTGGCAGCGAGGCTTGGGGAGGGGCGCCCGCCATTGCTGAGGCTTGAATAGGTAAACAAAGCGGCCAGGAAGCTCGAACTGGGTGGAGCTCACCGCAGCTCAAGGAGGCCTGCCTGCCTGTGTAGACTCCACCTCTGGGGGCAGGGCATAGCCGAACAAAAGGCAGCAAAAACTCTGCAGATTTAAATGTCCCTATCTGACAGCTTTGAAGAGAGTAGTGGTTCTCCCAGCATGGAGTTTGATATCTGAGAACGGACAGAGTGCCTCCTCAAGTGGGTCCCTGACCCGAGTAGCCTAACTGGGAGGCACCCCCCAGTAGGGGCAGACTGACACCTCACATAGCCAAGTACCCCTCTGAGACGAAGCTTCCAGAGGAACGATCAGGCAGGAACATTTGCTGTTCAGCAATATTTGCTGTTCTGCAGCCTCCGCTGCTGGTACCCAGGCAAACAGGGTCTGGAGTGGACCTCCAGCAAACTCCAACAGACTTGCAGCTGAGGGTCCTGACTGTTAGAAGGAAAACTAACAAACAGAAAGGACATCCACACCAAAACCCTATCATCAAAGACCAAAGGTAAATAAAACCTCAAAGATGGGGGAAAAACAGAGCAGAAAAGCTGAAAATTCTAAAAATCAGAGTGCCTCTCCCCCTCCAAAGGAACACAGCTCCTCACCAGCAACAGAACAAAGCTGGACAGAGAATGACTTTGATGAGTTGAGAGAAGAAGGCTTCAGACGATCAAACTTCTCCAAGCTAAAGGAGGAACTTAGAACCCATCGCAAAGAAGCTAAAAACCTTGAAAAAAGATTAGACGAATGGCTAACTAGAATAACCAGTGTACACAAATCCTTAAATGACCTGATGGAGCTGAAAACCATGGCATGAGAACTACGTGATGAATGCACAAGCTTCAGTAGCTGATTTGATCAACTGGAAGTAAGGGTATCAGTGATTGAAGATCAAATGAATGAAATGAAGTGAGAAGAGAAGTTTAGAGAAAAAAGAGTAAAAAGAAATGAACAAAGCCTGCAAGAAATATGGGACTATATGAAAAGACCAAATCTACGTCTGATTGGTGTACCCGAAAGTGATGGGGAGAATGGAACCAAGTTGGAAAACAGTCTGCAGGATATTATCCAGGAGAACTTCCCCAACCTAGCAAGACAGGCCAACATTCCAATTCAGGAAATACAGAGAAAGCCACAAAGATACTCCTTGAGTAACTCCAAGACACATAATTGTCAGATTCACCAAAGCTGAAATGAAGGAAAAAGTGTTAAGGGAAGCCAGAGAGAAAGGTTGGGTTACCCACAAAGGGAAGCCCATCAGACTAACAGTGGATCTCTCAGCAGAAACTCTACAAGCCAGAAGAGAGTGAGGGCCATTATTCAACATTCTTAAAGGAAAGAATTTTCAACCCAGAATTTCATATCCAGCCAAACTAAGCTTCATAAGTGAAGGAGAAATAAAATATTTTACAGACAAGCAAACGCTGAGAGACTTTGTCACCATCAGGCCTGCCCTGCAAGACCTCCTGAAGGAAGCACTAAACATGGAAAGGAAAAACCAGTACCAGCCACTGCAAAAACATGCCAAATTGTAAAGACCATCGATGCTAGGAAGAAACTGCATCAACTAACGAGCAAAATAACCAGCTAACATCATAATGACAGGATCAAATTCACACATAACAATATTAACCTTAAATGTAAATGGGTCAAATGCTCCAATTAAAAGACACAGACTGGCAAATTGGATAAAGAGTCAAGACCCATCAGTGTGCTGTATTGAGGAGACCCATCTCAAGTGCAGAGACACACATAGGCTCAAAATAAAGGGATGGAGGAAGATCTACCAAGCAAATGGAAAACAAAAAAAGGCAGGGTTTGCAATCCCAGACTCTGATAAAACAGACTTTAAACCAACAAAGATCAAGAGAGACAAAGAAGGCCATTACATAATGGTAAAGGGATCAATTCAAACAAGAAGAGCTAACTATCCTAAATATATATGCACCCAATACAGGAGCACCCAGATTCATAAAGCAAGTCCTTAGAGACTTACAAAGAGACTTACACTCCCACACAATAATGGGAGACTTTAACACCCCACTGTCAACATTAGACAGATCAACGAGACAGAAAGTTAACAAGCATATCCGGGAATTGAACTCAGCTCTGCACCAAGCAGACCTAACAGACATCTACAGAACACTCCACCCCAAATCAATAGAATATCCATTCTTCTCAGCACCACATTACACTTATTCCAAAATTGACCACATAGTTGGAAGTAAAGCACTCCTCAGCAAGTGTAAAATAACAGAAATTATAACAAACTGTCTCTCAGACCACAGTGCAATCAAACTAGAACTCAGGATTAAGAAACTCACTCAAAACCGCTCAACTACGTGGAAACTGAACAACCTGCTCCTGAATGACTACTGGGTACATAACAAAATGAAGGCAGAAATAAAGATGTTCTTTGAACCCAATGAGAGCAAAGACACAACATACCAGAATCTCTGGGACACATTTAAAGCAGTGTGTAGAGGGAAATTTATAGCACTAAATGCCCACAAGAGAAAGCAGGAAAGATCTAAAATTGACACCCTAACATCATAATTAAAAGAACTAGAGAAGCAAGAGCAAACACATTCAAAAGTTAGCAGAAGGCAAGAAATAACTAAGATCAGAGCAGAACTGAAGGAGACAGAGACACAAAAAATCCTTCAAAAAAATCAATGAATCGAGGAGCTGTTTTTTTTGAAAAGATCAACAAAATTGATAGACTACTAGCAAGACTAATAAAGACGAAAAGAGAGAATAATCAAATAGACACAATAAAAAATGATAAAGGGGATATCACTACTGATCCCACAGAAATACAAAATACCATCAGAGAATACTATAAACACCTCTACGCAAATAACCTGAAAATCTAGAAGAAATGGATAAATTCCTGGACACATACAACCTCCCAAGACTAAATCAGGAAGAACTTGAATCCCTGAATAGACCAATAACAGGCTCTGAAATTGAGGCAATAATTAATAGCCTATCAACCAAAAAAACTCCAGGACCAGACGGATTCACATCCGAATTCTACCAGTGGTACAAGGAGGAGCTGGTACCATTCCTTCTGAAACTATTCCAATCAACAGCAAAAGAGAGAATCCTCCCTAACTCATTTTATGAGGCCAGCATCATCCTGTTACCAAAGCCTGGCAGAGACACAACAAAAAAAAGATAATTTTAGACCAATACCCCTGATGAACATCAATGCAAAAATCCTCAATAAAATACTGGCAAACCGATTCCAGCAGCACATCAAAAAGCTCATCCACCATGATCAAGTGGGCTTCATCCATAGGATGCAAGGCTGGTTAAACATATGCAAATCAATAAACGTAATCCAGCATATAAACACAACCAAAGACAAAAACCACATGATTATCTCAACAGATGCAGAAAAGGCCTTTGACAAAATTCAACAGCCTTTAATGCTAAAAACCCTCAATAAATTTGGTATTGATGGGACGTATCTCAAAATAATAAGAGCTATTTATGGCAAACACACAGCCAATATCATACCGAATGGGCAAAAACTGGAAGCATTCCCTTTGAAAACTGGCACAAGACAGGGATGCCCTCTCTCACCACTCCTATTCAACATAGTGTTGGAAGTTCTGGCCAGGGCCAATCAGGCAGGAGAAAGAAATAAATGGTATTCAATTAGGAAAAGAGGAAGTCAAATTTTCCCTGTTTGCAGATGACATGATTGTATATTTAGAAAACCCCATCATCTCAGCTCAAAATATCCTTACGCTTATAAGCAACTTCAGCAAAATCTCAGAATACAAAATCAATGTGCAAAAATCACAAGCATTCTTATACATCAATAACAGACAAACAGAGAGCCAAATCATGAGTGAACTCCTATTCATAATTGCTTCAAAGAGAATAAAATACCTAGGAATACAACTTACAAGGGATGTGAAGGACCTCTTCAAGGAGAACTACAAACCACTGCTCAAGGAAATAAAAGAGGATACAAACAAATGGAAGAATATTCCATGCTCATGGATAGGAAGAATCAATATCGTGAAAATGGCCACATTGCCCAAGGTAATTTCTAGATTCAATGCCATCCCGATCAAGCTACCAATGACTTTCTTCACAGAATTGGAAAAAAACTACTTTAAAGTTCATATGGAACCAAAAAAGAGCCCTCATTGCCAAGACAATCCTAAGCCAAAAGAACAAAGCTGGAGGCATCACACTACCTGACTTCAAACTATACTACAAGGCAACAGTAACCATAACACCATGGTACTGGTACCAAAACAGAGATATAGACCAATGGAACAGAACAGAGCCCTCAGAAATAATGCCACACATCTACAACCGTCTGATCTTTGACAAACCTGAGAAAAACAAGCAATGGGGAAAGAATTCCCTATTTAATAAATGGTACTGGGAAAACTGGATAGCCATGTGTAGAAAGCTGAAACTGGATCCCTTCCTTACGCCTTATACAAAAATTAATTCAAGATGGATTAAAGACTTAAATGTTAGACCTAAAACCATAAAAACCCTAGAAGAAAACCTAGGCAATACCATTCAGGACATAGGCATGGGCAAGGACTTCATGTCTAAAACACCAAAAGCAATGGCAACAAAAGCCAAAATTGACAAATGGGATCTAATTAAACTAAAGAGCTTCTGCACAGCAAAGGAAACTACCATCAGAGTGAACAGGCAACCTACAGAATGGGAGAATATTTTTGCAATCTACTCATTTGACAAAGGGCTAATATCCAGAATCTACAAAGAACTCAAACAAATTTACAAAAAAAAAAAAAAAAAAAAACCCATTAAAAAGCAGGTGAAGGATATGAACAGACACTTCTCAAAAGAAGATATTTATGCAGCCGACAGGCACATGAAAAAATGCTCATCATCACTGGCCATCAGAGAAATGCAAATCAAAACCACAATGAGATACCATCTCACACCAGTTAGAATGGTGATCATTAAAAAGTCAGGAAACAACAGGTGCTGGAGAGGATGTGGAGAAGTAAGAACACTTTTACACTGTTGGTGGGACTGTAAACTAGTTCAACCATTGTGGAAGTCAGTGTGGCGATTCCTCAGGGATCTAGAACTAGAAATACCATTTGACCCAGCCATCCCATTTCTTGGTATATACCCAAAGGATTATAAATCATGCTGCTATAAAGACATATGCACATGTATGTTCATTGTGGCACCATTCACAATAGCAAAGACTTGTAACCAACCCAAATGTCCATCTATGATAGACTGGATTAAGAAAATGTGGCACATATACACCATGGAATACTATGCAGCCATAAAAAAGGATGAGTTCATGTCCTTTGTAGGGACATGGATGAAGCTGGAAACCATCATTCTCAGCAAACTATCACAAGGACAAAAAATCAAACACCACATGTTCTCACTCATAGGTGGGAATTGAACGATGAGAACACTTGGACACAGGACGGGGAACATCACACACCAGGGCCTGTCATGGGGTTGGGGCACATGACACAGCATTAGGAGATATACCTAATGTAAATGACGAGTTAATGGGTGCAGCAACCAACATGGCACATGTATACATATGTAACAAACCTGCACGTTGTGCATATGTACCCTAGGACTTAAAGTATAATTAAAAAAAAGAAAAAGAAAAAGAAATTGAATCCCTGAATAGACCAAAAAAAAAAAAAAAAAAAATACAAGGAACCCAACAGGGAAGACCCAAATAATGCCATTTAGCAAATGGGCCAAGGACATGAATAGACATTTCTCAAAAGCACACATAACCATAGCTAACAGGTGCACAAAAAAATGCTCAATATCACTAATCATGAGGAAACGCAAATCAAAACCATAATAAGAGATCCTCTTACCCCATTTAGAATGGCTATTTTTAAAAAGACAAAAAGTAGCAGATGCTGGTGAGGATGAGAGAAACAGGAACTCTTATACATTGTTGCTGGGAATGTAAATTACTAGAGCCACTGTGGAGAACAGTATGGAAATTTCTCAAAAAAAAAAAAAAACTAAAAATAGAACTACAAAACAAACCAGCAATCCACTATTAGATATTTATCCAAAGAAAAGAAAATCAGCATATCAAAGAATATCTGCGTCCTCATGTTTATTAGGGAATCAACCTGTGTCCATCAATGGAAAAATGGATAAAGACAAATGTGATGTATACACACAATGGAATACTACTTGGCTATAAAAGAAAATGAAATCATGTATTTGCAGCAACAGGGATGGAACTGGAGGTCATTATTATTATTATTATTATCATTATTTTTTTTTTTGAGATGGAGTCTCGCTCTGTTGCCCAGGCTGGAGTGCAGTGGCATGATCTCAGCTCACTGCAAGCTCTGCCTCCCGGGTTCACGCCATTCTCCTGCTTCAGCCTCCTGTGTAGCCGGGACTGCAGGCGCCCGCCACGACACCCGGCTAATTGTTTTGTACTTTAGTAGAGATGGGGTTTCACCATGTTAGCCAGGATGGTCTTGATCTCCTAACCTCGTGATCCGCCTGCCTCGGCCTCCCAAAGTGCTGGGATTACAGGTATGAGCCACCGCGCCTGGCCTTTGGAGGTCATTATTTTAAGTGAAATAAGCCAGGCACAGAAAGGGAGACAGCAAATGTTCTCACTCATATGTGGGAGCTAACAAAGTTAATCTCAAGGAGGTAGAGAGTAGAATGATAGATACTAGAGGCTTGGAATAGTTTTTGTATTGTCTGGTGTGGTAAGGGAGATGAAGAGAGGTTGCTTAATGGGTATTAACACACAGTTAGGCTGGGCGCGGTGGCTCACGCCTGTAATCCCAGCACTTTGGGAGGCCGAGGCGGGTGGATCACGAGGTCAGGAGATCGAGACCATCCTGGCTAACACGGTGAAACCCCGTCTCCACTAAAAATACAAAAAATTCTCCGGGCATGGTGGCGGGCGCCTGTAGTCCCAGCTACTCCAGAGGCTGAGGCAGGAGAATGGCATGAGCCCAGGAGGCGGAGCATGCAGCGAGCCGAGATGGAACCACTGCACTCCAGCCTGGGTGACAGAGCGAGACTCCGTCTCAAAAAAAAAAAAAAAAAAAACCACACACACAGTTAGATAGAGATAGAAGAAATAAGTTCTAATGTCCTACTGTAAGTAGGGTGACTACAGTTAACAATAATGTATTGTAATGTATTTATATTTCAAAATAGCTAGAAAAGAGGACTTAAAGTGTTGAAGTGTACCCAACACATAGAAATGATAAGTATTTGAAGTGATGACTAGATCATTATACAATCTATGAATGTGACAAAATTCACGTGTACCCTATAAGTAGGTACAAATATCATGTTATCAATTAAAAATGAAATTTAAAAATAGAGTTAGAAGAAAATAAGTGACTTCTGAATAAAGACCATAACTAATTGATATCCCATCAGCAACAATGAAAACTAGATACAGTGGAATATCTTCAATATTCTATAATAACTATTGATTTAAAAAAATCATAACCATTATTTATTTATCCATGCATCTGTTTTTGTTGGAGTGTCAGTGCCCAGACAGATGCCCAATAAGAGTTTTATCTTCTCTACCTCCATGGTATGACCTTGTTCTTTTCTTCAGTCTATACCTCTTTTCTTGCTTCAGGATTCTACAGCTGCACCAAGCCCCTCTTGGCATCCTGTACTTTGAACAAAGATTTCTACACATGTTAAAGCACTCCCCAATTAGCCCATTAGAGCTGATATTCTAAGGATTATTGTGTGACTGCTAAGCCCTACAGATAAATTATTTGATGTATAAATATATATACAAAAACACATGAAATGGCTGGGCACTGTGGGTCACGCCTGTAATCCCAACACTTTGGGAGGCTGAGGTGGGCAGATCACCTTTGGGTGGAGTTCAAGACCAGCCTGACCAACATGGAGAAACCCCATCTCTATTAAAAATACAAAATCAGCCGGATGTGGTGGCATATGCTTGTAATCCCAGCTACTCGGGAGGCTGAGGCAGGAGAATTACTTGAATCCAGGAGGCGGAGGTTGTGGTGAGCCAAGATCGCACCATTGCACTCCAGTCTGGGCAACAAGAGCAAAACTCTGTCACAAAAACAAACAAATAAACAGCAAAACAAAACAAAAACACATGAATATTTTTGCATAAGTTTAAACCTTTAAGTTAAAATTGTAGTCTACTAAAGTATCTTCAAATATCCACATATGATGATCCTTAGGGTTTCTCTCCACTGCAGGTGAATATTAGGATTTTTAATTATTAACTTTGATGCCAACTTCTTTCTTCAGTGACATTTTGGTTGAACCATTTTAGAAAGCGTGAGAAGCATAATATGTCTGAGTCTTAGAGACGGATAACTCTACAGTGCCTAGTAAACTGAAAGTATCCTGTCAAATAAATGCAAGCCCTTTACCAATCCCTAAGATTAAATCGACTTTCAGGCCCTCTGTGGAGTTACAACATAAACCAACTGACTCTGTGATTATCTTTCTGAGTAATTTGGTTCAGTCGTGATGCTTAATTATAAAGATCAGTGGTAACCTTTCATTATTTTTAACATTTAAAGTCTTAGAAAAATTTTAATAAATGACTCCCTTATTTGGACTTTCTAGTCTTGTCACATTTAGATGTTGTTATAGTTTGAATCCATACCCTCTCCAAATCTCATGTTGAAATGTAATCCCCAATGTTGGAGGTGGGGCTGGTGGGAGGTGTTTGGGTCATGGAGGAGGATGCCTCATTGCTTGATACTGTTCTTGTGATGGTGAGTGAGTTCTCAAGAGACCCGGTTGTTTAAAAATGTGAGCACCTCCCTGTTACTCTCTCTCTCTTGCTCCTGCTTTCACCATGTGATGTGCCTGCTCCTGCTTCACTTTCCGCCATGATTGTAAGCTTCCTGGGGCCTCCCCAGGAGCAGATACCAACAGCCTGCTTTCTGTAAAGACTGTAGAACTGTGGGCCAATTAAACTTTTCTTTTTAAATCATGCAGTCTCAACTATTTTATTATAGCAGTGCAAGGATGGCCTAACACAGATGTCATTGAGGATTTTCTCAAAGAAAATCTACTCTAGGTGATGAGATTTAAAATGAATCCAAAGAAACAAATCTTATGAAGGGTACTTTGGGGATACAGTCAGTCCTCAGCATCTGTGGGTTCTGCGTCTGTGGATTCAACCAACTACCAATTGAAAATACTTGGAAGAAATAACATAACAATAAAAATGATACAAATTTAAAAAGAAATACAGTATAACAACTATTTACATAGCATTTACATTGTATTCGATATTATAAGTAGTCTAGAGAGGATTTAAAGTATATAAACGGAGAATGTGAGTACATTATATGCAAATACATACCACACCATTTTATATAAGAGACTTGAGCATCCCCACAGATTTTGGTATCTGTAGGGGTCCTGAAACCATGAATACCAAGGAAAGACTGCATTATCAAAATAAGTGTATAACTCTTTGCCCGATAATTCCTGGGTAAGAAAACTGAGAACTTATGCTATAAATACTAGCATGTGTGAAAATGACACACGTGTTACTTACTTCTGCATTAATAATTGTAAAGATAGAAATTCACACAAATGTCCAGCATTAGTGGAGTAGGTAAATTATGACACCCCCCCAAATTTTATTTATAATATCTTCAAAATATATTGTTAAATTAAAGAAAGAAATAAAGATATTAAACAGTGTGTATATGAAGCTGTCTTGGGAAAAAAGGAGTGGGGTTAAGACAATATAGTTATAATTGCCATAGATGCATCCAAAGTATCAAGAACCTAATAATTATTACCTATGTGTTGAGAGATTGCTTGAAACTGAAGACACAGAGGATAGGGAGCGGGTGGAAGACTTTTCACTATATTTATTATTATATTTTGTGACTTCTGAACTAGGAGTAATTACTAATTCAAATATTTTAGGAATCATGACACAAAAAGTTAAGCAACAACAACAAAAGAATTCCAATGTAACAGAACATACTAGGATAACTGAAAACCCTCATTCACTGCCTGGCACCTAAGTACTCACGCTATACAATCTCAGAGAGGATTGATTTCAGCTTGATTTAATCATTCAGTGATGTAAACATACCAAAATATTACATTGTACCCTATAAATATCCAATATATACAATTATTATCTGTCAATTGGAAATAAAATTTCAAAAATATTGAAAACCTCTGACACATATTTGGTATAGCTGGAAAAACCTCTCATTTTTCTGGAGAAATATTATGGTATTATGATATAGATTATCTCTTCAAATGCAAATTTATCTTTTTCAAGGGTTTTCTTCTACCATATTTGATATCTCCATTCCTCTCAATTTACTACAAATATCTGCTTAATATGAACATGCTCACCCTCCACCTTTCTTTAAATCATGACTTCTGAAGTCTTGTTCGCTGACTTGACCTTCATAAATATAAGTCTCCCTCTGAAGGCTCTAGTCCATGTATTTCCCTATTCTCCTACTCCAATATCACCAATAGTGTTCTTCAATTTTCATTATTTTAACAAATATGTAGGAAGCAAAAAACAATGGATCCAAAACTGTGCTAGGTGTTATGAGGAACGAAAGAAGATTAAGGTGTGCTCCTGCCACAATAAGGTTATGATCCAACCACCTTGCCTCCAGCTTTAATCTATGATTTTTTTTAACAAATATTGATTGAGACCCTTCTTGTTACCAAGCACAAGCTTTTCAATTTTCTTAAACCTCCAATTCTTTCCACCTCACAAATTCTCCTTCTTGATAGTAATACAAGCTATCTTTTATAGATCTAATTTTCTGTGCCAGTCACAGGGCTTAGCCCTTTGTAAGTATAGAAAGTCCAAGTTTTACTGACTATAAATTTAGTGAACTAGAAATGTAACCATTTTTTTTCTATGACTGAACTTTTATTTCAAAATTGATTCCACTGGTGGCAAAGATGGAATCCTAATCTCTGGATGAACTAAGTCCATTCAGGGTTTCTTCCACTCTCCCTTCAGTTTTCTTGGTATTGTGGTAGGCACTGGAGGGCAGCTGGAGATATTTATGCAGTATCCAGTTTTTGGGCAAAGAAAGTATTTTGTCCTCAGCTGTGTTCTATCTAGGTTAACCTCTCCTGGGGTCTTCATTGTCTCATTTGATTGAGACGGTTATTTTTCACTAGCATTTTTTGGTCTTACTTGATTCCCTGGCACCTACTGTTGCATTCTCCACCTGCACCGCAATAGCCCTCCAGATCTAGAACTCTCAGTGTCCCCTCTGCTCCAGTGCTGATTACACTGGGAAACAGTCAGCTGCTCCTGTACCATGCATGGGTGGGAACTTGTCAGCCTCAAAATCCTCTAACATAACATTCAGTGCTTCTACTCTGCTACTCTTACAACATGTTGCTGTTCTCTATAATCTGAGATTACCAAGCATATAGGAGGGAACTATATTTCTCTATGAAGGTCAAGGAAGGGTGTGCCCTCCTTCCTACATTTTCTCAGGTTTTCTGTCTCATTAACATCAGTACTCTCCTTTCCACCTTGCCCATCTTTTCTCCTATCCCAGGGTATGCTTCAGCCTCTGTGACATAAAGATCTGATTCAGTAGATATTCATTCACATCTATTAGGTACTCCAAGAATAAGAATTTACATTTGTAGTTTGACATTGTGCTAAATTCTCCCTGGAAATATATCAGCTAATACACCAAAATGTTATTCCAGATGTACAAATATTAACTCATTTACTGTTCACAGCAGCCCTACAAATATAGGTACAATAATTTTTTCTCTTCTGGGAACTGAGGCTTGGTTGTTTTAAGTTAGTAAATAAACAGAGTTGGAATTGGATCCAGATCTGCTCCCAGGGCTTAACCAAATCTTTTATCAAAAAACTTTTTTTCTGGGACTGTAAACTAGTTCAACCATTGTGGAAGTCAGTGTGGCGATTCCTCAGGGATCTAGAACTAGAAATACCATTTGACCCAGCCATCCCATTACTGGGTATATACCCAAAGGACTATCAATCATGCTGCTATAAAGACACATGCACACGTATGTTTCTTGGGGCACTATTCACAATAGCAAAGACTTGGAACCACCCAAATGTCCAACAATGATAGACTGGATTAAGAAAATGTGGCACATATACACCATGGAATACTATGCAGCCATAAAAAACGATGAGTTCATGTCCTTTGTAGGGACATGGATGAAATTGGAAATCATCATTCTCAGTAAACTATCGCAAGAACAAAAAACCAAACACCGCATATTCTCACTCATAGGTGGGAATTGAACAATGAGATCACATGGACACAGGAAGGGGAACATCACACTCTGGGGACTGTTGTGGGTTGTGGGGAGCGGGGAGGGATAGCATCGGGAGATATACCTAATGCTAGATGATGAGTTAGTGGGTGCAGCACACCAGCATGGCACATGTATACATATGTAACTAACCTGCACAATGTGCACATGTACCCTAAAACTTAAAGTATAATAAGAAAAAAAAAACTTTTTTTCTCCTAACTTCTCATGAAAATAATACTTTTCTTAAATGATTCTGTACTCATTTAGTAGGAAGAAAACATCCAAATTTATTTTCATATTTGGCCACTAAGCACCTTTTTTATAGTATACAGATTTTACAGTTTTTTATTTCAATCAGATCCAAATCAATGCTGTTGGTTATCAAATCTGTTAGCTGATGTTGCTTCTTTTGCATTTAGTGTTTTATCTATAGATCATATTTTGCTCAACTTTGAGGCTTTTTAAAAAGCAGCTTACTTTACCCCAGATTTTTTTCTTCTCAGCATTGATGTGAATTTTCTTCTATCTCTCTTTACTGATAGCGTCCTTGACTCAAGTTGCTCCCCAGTGTTCCAGCCCGTTTTGGGTGAGTTTTCACTGTTCACTGTGGCCTTTCCAACTTTGAGCATTTTCCTGTCAAGCAAAATTTGCAGACAAAGGTCCAGCATGTGGGCACAGCCTCACCTGCATAGTCCAGCTGATCCTGCAATGCCTTTGATGCTCATGTCTGAGGATTAAGCAGGTGGATAAGCCAAAGCAGGATGCTGTCCTCTTACCTACTATGTACCCTTCTCCCTGCCCATGGCTTTGGAAGGAGTAAAAATGAAGAGATAAGATCTAGAGAGAAGAATGATGGGAGAAGGGAGAGAGAGAAAAAAAAAGGAGGAATGGGGAAGAGGGAGGAGGAAGGAAGGGGGAAAAAGAACAGATAAACAACGGAAAATTTGCTTGGAAAGCAGAAGACCAGAGCAGAGCTTCAAGGGAAACAGAATCAATCTCTCTGTGGGAGCAGGAATGCTAGCACACTGTGGAGTGTTCTGACAGGTGGATTTTCATAACCCACTAGAGAGGAATACTGCAGCACACAAACTCCCATTAGGCACATATGACAGTGACCACATGATTGAGAAGTTACAGAGGTGTGAGGTCAAAGAATTTCATAGCTCTGAGTTCAGGTTTGCTCTTCGAGAGAAAAGTACAGTTAATTTCTGGGGATCAGAACATTACACTCAGTTGTTCTGGGCTGAACAAAAATTCTTAAGTGGAGGCATTTTAAGTGATGACCACGGAACTATTTACAGTTAAACTAACCAGACTGTCATCTAAGCTATGCACTGCAGTTGAGTTCAAGTCAATAAATATTTATGTACAGTTGCTATTTGGGGTACTAGAGATAGAATAGTGTATAACAGTCTTTCTCCTCATGGAACCTAAAGTCTGGTGGTACAGAAGGATTCATTTATGACCCTTGACCTGAATAGAAAAGATTTGAGATGGGAGCACAGAAAATACAACTCATATGGCCAGGAGCGGTAGCTCAAGTCTTTAATCTCAGCATTTTGGGAGGCTGAGGAAGGCGGATCACCTGGGCCCTGGATTTCAAGACTAGCCTGGACAACATGGCAAACACTATTGCTACAAAAAAAATTTTTAAAAATAGCTGGACATGATGGCACATGCTTGTGTTCCCAGCTACTTGGGAGGCTGAGGTTGGAGGATCACTTAAGCCCAGGAGGTCAAGGCTGCAGAGAGCCTTAACTGCCACTACACTCCAGCCTGGGAGACAGAGTGAGATCTTATCTCAATCAAAAAACAGATGTCATTCTTTAAAAGAGAAAGAAAACACAAGTCTTAAGTTCTAAAGGTAACTAATGCATTCTGTTTACAGGTGCAGAAATGGCAATTTACCACTTAGGTGACACGTTTTTGTTATTCATTCTTCATTCTGTTGTTCAGTTAACAGCTGAACAACTTCTCTGTACCAAACACTGTGTGCAATGCTATATGTAGAATAATTTACCTAAATTTCCCTGACCATTAGATTTGCCTTGGTAAAAACAAAACAAAACCCCACAGAATTATCTTGGAGATTCTTATTTCGTACAGAAATAAGAATTAGAGTTGATCCCAGAAGTATGTATGTTCAGCATGCACTTCAGGAGATGCTTATAAACAAAACAGTTTAAGAAATCCTGCTATGGAAAATACAAAGATAAAGTAGATATGGGACCTAGTCTCAAAGACTTTACAACTTCTCAAACTTTTCTGATTTTCCTCTGTTTGAAGGGTTAATTCGCTTTATGTCAGTTAAATAGGAACTATAAAATAATGTCACTTTATTTTTTGGTGACTCTGAAACTGGCTCTGCAGGAAATTCCAAAAGCACAGCCCCTAATATATTTGGAGTAGTGAATTTCCAAGGTGACTAATTTAAATTGCAGAATTAAAAAAAAGTTTGGTATTAGAAAAAAAAGTATTACTTTAGAGTCATATGCTTCATAGTTATAAACATGTAATTTTGAAGGTCTTAGGAACCCTGATAATTCTCTCAAAAATTCACGGGAAAACTGGACCCGGATAGGCTGTTTCCCACATTCATTCATTCAGAACTAGTCATAAGAGAAAGAGAACTAGAACCTCTATCTAATTCTAAGAATATATTATTTCCATCTTATCATTATTAATCCCATCATTCAGCTGCTGACAGAAAAGACAAAGGGTCTTCCACAGACTTCAAGCTTCAAAAGGAGCATGGGGTTGAACATCTTAAGCTCATCACTGTATCCCAGCAGGGAGCACAGTGCCTGGAGTGCTTCACAGGTGAGGAACCATTTCCTCTCACCCCATTAAACCAAGGGTACATGTGGAATGCGTATCAGATTACCCTCTCTCTTCTTCCCAGTTTTTCTTGGCAAACATCCCAGCACCCACCTTAAACCTCCCTCTCTCCACCCTTACCCTTCCCTGGAGCACTAGTACACAAATATGATTACCAGGTCCTTTTGAAGCCTTTTGGGTAACTACTCCAAGCGTGTTCCCCATCTCAGCAACATCAGCACCAACTGGGAGCTTGTTAGAAATGTGGAGTATATGGACATCCCAGACCTATTGAATCAGAATCCACATTTAACAAGATCCCAGGATGATTCTTATGCACATTAAAGTTTGAGATGCACTGGTCTAGGGTCCATATCAAACACACATTGAACAAACTTTACTTTTTGTAAAGATGTAATGGCAAGGGAGTAAATTATAGTTTAGGAAAGAAATAGAAGATGGCTGACCTTTTTGGGGCAGACTGATAAAAATATTTCCAACCTATAATTACATTAATTAACAGCTTTATCTTTGGAAACAGTTTTTTGGTCCTGTATCTAATTTGTTTAATAATAATTAAGTCCTGAAAAGATTTATTATATTGTTACTTTAGCAGGATTTTGGCAAAAACAAGTGAAGCAAAAGGCATTTCTTGAGGATTAATGAAAAGTTATAAGGAATGGCTGGCTTGAGACAAGCCTGAATGCAATTAATCCATCCAGTTAGCAATTCTTAGCACACACCTTATGTTGAAGTTGCTATTGTTTCATTCACAGAGCACTGGGAAAAGAAAGAAAGAAACAGTGCTCTATTGATCTTTTCTCATGCTCTAGGCAGTTTCATTTTGTTGTTTGCTAATATTTTCTGGAGGCCCTTACAGAGAACCATTGCTTTGTTCATTAACCTTTCAAATTGCTTAATGTTTGCAGCATACAGTGCAATATGATCTAGTGCTGTTACCTCAACATTTCATTTAATTCACTCTACTATTCTTACTACATGTAGAAAATGTAGTGTCAATTCCAAACTCATTATGCAAATATTTCACTTAGGTGCTGTTATTTTGACTTCCATTACCTCTACTCTACCATTATTCCTGCCTCCGGTGAATCAGAAGTGTCAAATTACATATGTAGATTTGTGGGATTTTTTTGGGTTTTGGTGTGATACTGAATGTCTCCCACAGACTCAGCAGAAAATCAATTGTATTTGAATCAACCACTGCATTCTGCATTTTCAAATATTACAGTTCTAATATGTCCTCTCAAGAAAAGTCTTATAGCATATAAGCCTTAAGAATTAGCTTAGGAAATCATTTCATACTTACAGAGCCAGGAAACATCTTCCCTCAAAACACATACATGTCTGTATGTTCACTGAAACTTCTATCTGAAGATGGTATTTAGTTCTAGGTTAAACTATGGAAGGATTCCGTACTATAAAAAAGTTTAAAAGATGAAACAAGACACAAGGGCTTACCTTCTATACATAAGACTTTTTTTTTAATACAACAGGCTTTACTTTACATGTTTATAAGTAATAAGTAGTATACCCTAAATAAAGCTATCTGCCTTTATGTACAATAAAAATGTATTTGAATTTCCTCAAAATCAAGTTCACATTCTTTGTATTTCAAGGAAATGTCCCTGTCTACAAGTCCATATGTTAGATCACTCTTTTATTCAAAACACAAGATATTAAAATACAAAAAGTCATTTTTCATAACATAAATAGAATTTTGCTCAGTTTGTTCACTGCTATTCCCATGTTGGTTTAGCCTCATATATGCACTCATAGCTGTGCATATGAGTAATGCCCAGCTGACCTAAGAGTGTTCAGGTGAAGTATTTTTCCCCTTCCCCCAACTCCTCATTCCAAAACCCATTGATTCCATCTCTAGCTGGTTTTAAGCACCCTTATTAATGGTGGGTAAAATCTAAGCATTTTTTATCAAAGGATACTCATGATCTGAGTCCAATTTAATCTTTTGAAAGTCCCCACCTCACCAAGATGAGTATTTCATCAATTATTGCCTGTATATTGAATAATTTCTCATATATGTGTATATGTGTGGTTCTTTATCTTTAAATATATGTAGATGTAGTTGTGATTAATAGAATAATACACTTAAAAGTATTCTCACATTAACTTCTCATTATGTTTTTAAGCTATTGGATGTTCGTCTCTCGTAAAAATAAATTTATCATTGTAAAAAACAAAATACTAGATTTCATTATTGAAAATGTGGATAAAACTACTCTAGAGAAGAAAACATGAAGTGTATGTGTGCCTTCTTTTGCTGCACAAATGAAATCCCCGCTAACCAATGAGCATCTATTATCTAGTTAGTGTCAAGCAATGTACTAGGTATAGATGACCACACCAAAATGTATATGACCCAGTCTCTGTTTGACCCAAAGTAGCTTATAATAGGTCTAGACTTGTGAACTGAGGCATGAGTTTTCATTTTTAAGTTTTCATATGATTTAGTCAATTTTAATGCAATAAGATGAAGGCTAATATGTAAAACAAATGCATTATGGATTATATTAAAACTTTATACAGAAAACTATATATATACATATATATGTGTGTGTATACATATATGTGTGTGTATATATATATATATATAGTTCATCTAGGAGTGATAATTTGTCTTATAGCCACCTTTAAGAAAGAAGGTGATTGGTGACAGAAGAAAATGTAGATTAGAGTAGCGGCAGTATACAACATCTACTACACATTGAAAACACTGTCCTCAATAACTTTAAAAAGCCTTTGATTTGTGTGTACTTTTACCAGTTCAATAGATTTCTTCAACTTTTATTATATACTGACATCCAGGGATATTGATCCAAAAATATTTTATCCATAAAAGCAGTTGATGTATTTAAGCATCTAAAGATTTTGTTTTTAGTGCATTTTTATGTATGATTCATTTTCCCAAGATCAACAATTTCTTGACATTCATTTAAAACATGGTTAGAAATATCAGAGCCTAGATTAATTGACTCTTCTAATTAACAGTCATAAACTTTTACAGATTCCTACAAATCCTGGTCTTGAAAATGGCCTAAAACAAAGAGTATATTACAGCAAATGTTTTAGGTGATGTGTGTTTTCACCAAGCTATCTCTTGTTTGAAAAAACTACCCTGTCAAAATTGTTTTATTAATGAATTTATAGATTCCTTTGGTCAAATAAGCAGTGCGTTTACAACTTAAACATCAGCGTAAGTCTTGTGACCCTTTTCAGATTTAACTTTTTCTTCCAAATGGTCATTTAGAGTTTTATGGTTTAAGATACAGGATAGATTTTGGAAGTGATTAGGATCTGAGGAGTGAATTCTGAGAGAGTAAAGTGTTTTCATTTCCAGGTTTCTGAAACTTTGTATTAACCAGCTCTGTAACTTTCTCTATAATATGGATGAACTCACTGTATCATTTGAGGAATCTAGTAATTATTAGATATTTAGGCAGAAAATGTTAAGTATTAGATAAAAAAGTGTATTAGTCTGTTTCACACTGCTATGAAGAAATACCCGAGACTGGGTAATTTATAAAGAAAAGAGGTTTGATTGATTCACAGTTCCACATGGCTGGGGAGGCCTTAGGAAACTTACAATCATGGTAGAAGGTGAATAGGAAGCAAGGATCTTCTTCACATAGCAGCAAGGAGAGAAGAGCTAGCAAGAGCAGGGAAAACTGCCTTATAAAACCATCAGATCTCATGAGAACTCACTATCATGAGAACAGCATGGGGGAAACTGCCCCCATGATCTAATCACCTCCCACTGAAGCCCTCCTTTGACACATGGGGATTATGGGCATTACAATTCAGGATGATATTTGCAGGAGGACACAGAAAAACCATATCAGACAGGAAATAAAAAGAGATTCAGAAGTTCAACATAATAAAATTTTTTAAAAAGTTCATTAACCAATTAACTAGTTTTCCCAAATAGTTGATGGGGCTATTTTGAAGTGCTAGATGATGTACTGTGTATCAGTAACATAATTTGGCCAAGTTACAATATGGTGGATGAGATGGTGGTAATCAAGGTGAAAAGAGGTGAGGTGAGTAAAGAGGTGACAGGCATTTGAATTTGTAAGTGTCTTTTATAATCCATCTTGGCATATTTTTGGCAGATCAAGAAAAAACATCACATTGGAAAATTTTAATTTACTAATCATTGATGGAGAAGAGAGCCCATGATGGAGCAGGACTAAAAGATCTCTGTCCTTCCTTTAATTTGCTTAGATTTATAATTAAGTAATCAAAATATGTACACAAAACTGAATGTGACTTCTGACTACACTGAATAAAAGTAAGTGAATTAAAATAACTAGTTACTAATAGATCTGCATTATCCTAAACAACTGTTGACAGTAGTAAATCAACTTCTTTGGCCCTGATATAGCAGACAAATACTTTGAGAACACCTGATTTCAACAGGGTGTTTGGACATTGGGTGTAATACATATTTAGTTCAGAATATGTCAAGCACTCCTTTAAGTACTTTATCATATATAAGGTAGATGTAGTCTATGTCTTTGTTCTTAGTTACAAAATTAATGAGATTTCAATACTAAAACACTTGCAACAATAAGGATATTGTAGCCAAATCAAAATGCATTATTTGGAATGTGAATTGTCCAGTTTGGATACCTTTATTGATTTACCTGTTAAATAGCTTTTAAGCTCTATTAGAATAGTTCTAAGCTCTATTAGAATAGCTCTAACTATTCACTAAAAAAAACTTTTTTTTTTAGTGAATGCTTGAATCCCCATGGAGAAACAGCCCTGCTTCCTTGTACTTTGTTTTCTAGTGAGGTATAAATAGAATAAACAAATAGATGAAAATCACAATTATGGAAATTGTTAATGCTATGAAGGAAAAAACTAATAAATAAAGTAAAATGAATATAAAGTCACTTAATTTGGCATCAGGCAGACACCGTTTGAAATCTGTGGCCTATTTACAGAAAAAAAAACACTGTACTTGTAATGAATTTGAACTCTCTAACAAGGAACATGCAAGCTAAGGAGTCACATAATCACTTTTGACACATAAGGTAAATCTAGAAACAAATGTAGATAATATTTAATAGTTTTGTAGAGGATGTTGCAGAAGTCCACACTCTTTTAATGAACCATTAACACTTAAAGATATGTATTAAAATGTTGCTAAGATTAGAATATAGAAAAAGGAGTAAGAAAATTTAATGATCAACTTAATACTTTAGTTTTGCTACAGGGCCCACTATTTTACACACTTCAGATCAATAAGTGAGGAATAGTATAATAGGTCAATGATGTCAGACAGAGCTTCAGGGCAAAAAAATTAAGACATGGCCAAATTCTGAGCAATAATATGTAAAAAATGCTTAATGATATATTTTTTCTTTCAAATAAATCCCTGTCCCAGTTTCCTAGTTAATAAAGTAATACCTTTTTAGTCTCTCACAGCAATAACCTTTTCACACTGATTTATAAGAGAAAGACAAAGAATACTTTATTCAAAGCATTCAATCATTTATTGTTCACTGAATTGTTGATTGTTCATTCAATCATTTATTTATTGAACAAATATTTACTGAGCATCTATTACAGTTCTTCCTAAACCTGATTTTGGTATTTTAGAAATGTACAGTGGCTGTTTTACACTCAGTTAGACCAAAGGATGATAACATAGAGAAATTATCTACGTGTGTCCCTCATGGCTGTTTTACTTGGTTGCTGTGGATTCCTACAAGTGTATATATGGTGCAGTGCATCAGATTACTTACCGAGGACTTCCTTAGGACACCATTTAGTTGTGCTGAGTTGTTGGATACTTTATGACATTATCTAGACACTGGCTAAAGCCACTTTTATATTTAGGAAAAATGCCTATCACAGAAATGTTAAATGGGGATTGTCTCATTTATATACATTTAGCATAAAATCATTGTATTTATTATATATGCAATATTGAGCTCTTTAAAAAAAATGAATAAACACATCATTTGTATAAATAAGATATAATATAGAGGAACCAGAAGAAAGTATTCTGTTATAGTTAGCACTTATTAGACTCATACCTAAAGACTATGTCCAGATATTAATCCACAAACTAAGGAGAATGTAGATTTAAGGAAAAAATGAGAAAGAAAAATTTAAAATTAAAAAATCAGATAAAGAAGAAAATGTCAAATTAAAATCACTTTTTGTAAATATAAAAAAGCTGATATAATTCAGTAATATAGAGCTGTACAGAGCTATTAGATAAAAGATATTGAGCAAATATTCTGTATAGTCAAGAGGGTAAAAGTGGGGTAGGAAGAAGTGAGAAAGAAAGTTAGTTTAAGGACCTTATATAATGTCCTTCCCCAAACTCTTAATCAGCAGTATACATGGTATTGCTCTTATCTGCTATGGGTCATTCCAAAGTATTTCTACTTGAAACCTAGAGCTCTGACTTTATGTCCTTACAAATCACAATTGCTATTTTTTGATTGAGTTTGAACTATGTATGTGTAAGGCATTTTTCTATGACTTTATATTCTAATACCACATCAGTGCTGCAAGGTAGGTGTTATTAAACCTGCTTGCCAGTGAATTAACTCAGCATGGGAGTTCAAGCACCTCACTCAAGGTCACTCAAAGGCTGAAGAGTGAATGGTCCTTTTGGAAGCCCTTGATTTCTGTAGAACTCGGGGCTTGTACAAACATCTTTGCTTCTGGGCTTTATCAGGAGGCAGAAAGTGTGTAGATTTGCTCTATCAAATACACAGTTCTTCAGATCACAGAAATCTAATTGCCTTTGAAATGACAGTCTCTAGATAATAAAGTTGCACTGACCAGCCAAAGTTTGAGTAACTATTCAAATTCTAGCAATAACTTTATCAAAAGTGTATCTATTTATTTAGGATGAGTAGGCAGTAAAATACAGTATTTATGCTGATAAAGTTACTTGCAAATGCTGAGGCACTAAGCCCAGACAATTTCAATTCCTGTGACTCAATACAGTCTAACAACAGTGAAATCATTAAGAAAGAGTTTATGTACTTGCAAGTAATAAAGGTGTTGTCTATAGTTCCATATATTAGAGAACTTGAAATATCTAAGAAGGTACATTTGAAATTAATGGTGCATATGGAAGAAAATTTTAAATGTCAGTCTTGCAAGGAATGTGAGTGGGATGAGACAATGAAAGTTTATTCAACTTTAGAAATGTACTAGCTCAAAATGGTCTTGCTCTTCTAAACAATCATTTATTTTCACAGAAAATATATTAAGTCAAGAATTTTTATCCTACTTAAAGAAAACTTTGTGTGGATAAGTGAGGTAGAGGGGCCTGAGGAAACTTAAAAAAAAGAAAAGAAACAGATTAACTGCAGCAGATATTCATTATATTACTTCACTCTTAGTTAATAATAGCTATAAAAATGTGTCCAAATCTGAGACCTTCAAAATTGTTCAAATACATTTAATAGAATCTCATCATGCATTTTATTTCCATTTCTTTATATTAATAAACATACATTGTGTATAATAAATATTAATACACTGTCACCATGTTCCTTCCATTTCCAGATACATTTAGTTTACTTTTACTCTCTTTTATACCCTTCCCCCACCCTTTTTTCCCCCAATTATAAGTTCCTCTCATTCCATTCAATGAAATGCAAGTTTCATCTCATCTTGGGGTCAAGAACAAAAATCTTCCACAGTGTAGCACTTGGACCCCACACAACAACTGTGAGTTAATGTCCCCGGGGACTTGAAGCCCAAGGTAAATTCTCAGTGTTTGTTAGTTAAGTCTGCCACAGCTCTCTTGGAAAAGAAACTCCATCAGCTGCAAAATCCAGGTTTGTACAGGCATATGAAATTCCTTGAAGTTCTTGAATAAATTTTTTTCCAGTTCTTCCTTACTTACTATTATATCACCTTACTCTCATTATATCACCTTATGTCATCTGGTGCCAGAGTCATGTTATCTAATGGGAGATACAATCACTGGTATTGATCTGGGAATGTTCTCAGAAACTCTCTGCCCTCTATTATGTTTGTGTTCAAATGTACACACTTGCGAGTTTTTACATATGTCACAGAATTCAGGCTTTCAGGTACATTTTTAAACTGGAAAAATTGTTAGGTAGAATTCAGAATATTTGTTTTACATGGCAACAATTAAACTATATATTGCTATCTATTTAAAATCGTGTTCTGCCCATTCTCTCTAACAATTATAAAAACTATTTCATACTCTTTTTCCCTATAGCTTTCATCTAACCTAGGTGTCCAACAAATACACTACATTTAGGTGAACTCCAGCCCTCCTCTCTATGTTTTTCCTATACCCCAATACTTTCCCCAGCATTCACCACAGTGTACCATTACCACTACTACAATTACACCATGCACATTCACAGTACTCCAGCCTTCCTATCGGAGATTGTGCGTCTTTGATATGAAATGACCTCTTGCATATTTCCTCCCTCTAACACAAATGTTCACTTCCTTACAGTATTTCTCAGGTCAGCAACCAAATAAAATGTGATAATTCTTCTAAGGTACTAAGGATTTAAGGGAATATTGGCATTTTTTTAAAGCAGCTTTCACATGCTACACAATATTTCAAGGAGCTAATCATTACTAGCATACATTTAGGCAAATAAATACATTATAAAGCAAATATTTGGGAGTAAAGGGATCCTCACATCCTATAATATCCTCCAAGGACATACATTAAAATACTTTTTCGATAGATTGACAATATATCTTTTCTCAGTTTCCTAGGGAAGATAATACAGTGAAATGGGAAAATCTACTGGACCTCATGGTATTCAAAAGTATTGGCATTTCTATTCAGTTTTGCAATGAATAACATTTCCAGCATATCTCTTAAACTGTTTTAATCTCAACTTTTCCATATATAAATTAAATTTTTTGACATTAAATATATGATTCTATAGTATTATATTCTTAGAACTTGGTTTATCTGGTATTTGTGTTGTGAAACAATGGCACTGATACAGTTTGGCTGTGTCCCCACCCAAATCTCATCTTGAATTGTAGCTCCCATAATTTCCACATGTCATAGGAGGGAACCAGTGGGAAGTAATTGAATCATAGAGGATGTTCAGGTGATAGTGAATAAGTCTCATAAGACCTGCTGGTTATATAAAGGGGAGTTCCCCTGCACATGCTCTCTTGCCTGTCACCATGTAAGATGTGACTTTGCTCCTTATTTGCCTTCTGCCATGATTGTGAGGCCTCCCCAGCCATGTGGAACTGTGAGTCAATTAAACCTGTTTCCTTTATAAATTACCCAGTCCTGGGTATGTCTTTATTAGCAGTGGGATAACAGACTATTACAGGCATAGAAGAAAAAATACAGATTAGAAGGAGAGAAACTTTTATAAAAAATGAGAATTAAGCTTTCACAAATGTAAGATAAATCAAAATATATGTACTTTAACAGAGTACATGAGTTTAGTACTGGTACAAAAACAGACATGTAGACCAATAGAACAGAGTAGAGAACTCAGAAATAAGACTGCACACCTACACATCTAAGCCATTAGATCTTCGACAAACCTGACAAAAACAAGCAATGGGAAAAGGATTCTCTATTTCATAAATGGTGCTGGGAGAACTGGCTAGCCATATGTAGAAAATTGAAACTGGACCCTTCCCTTGCACCTTATACAAAAATTAACTCAAGATGGATTAGAGACTTAAATGAAACCCCAAACTATAAAAATCCTAGAAGAAAATCTAGGCAATACCTTTTAGGACATAGGCATGGGCAAAGATTTAATGACAAAAACACCAAAAGCAATTGAACAAAAGCAAAATTGACAAATGGGATCTAATTAAACTAAAGAGCTTCTGCATAGCAAAAGAAACTATCAATAGAGTGAACAGACAACCTACAGAATGGGAGAAAATTTCTGCAATCTATCCATCTGACAAAGGTTTAATATCCAGAGTCTACAAGAAATTTAAATTTACAAGAGAAAAACAACACCATTAAAAAGTGGGCAAAGGACATGAACAGACACTTCTCAAAAGAAGACACACCTGTGGCCAAGAAACATGAAAAAAAAGCTCAACATAACTGATCGTTAGTGAAATGAAAATCAAAACCACAATGAGATACCACCTCATGCCAGTCAGAATGGCAATTATTAAGTCCAGAAGCAACAGATGCTGGTGAGGTTTCAGAGTAAAAGGAAGGCTTTTACACTGTTGGTGGGAATGTAAATTAGTTCAACCGTTGTGGAAGACAGTATAGCGATTCCTCAAAGATCAAGAAGCAGCAGAAATACCACTTGACCCATATACCTAAGGAATATATACCTAAAGAATATATACCTAAAGGAATATATATCATTCTATTATAAAGATACATGCATGCATATGTTCATTGCAGCACTATTCACAATAGCAAAGATGTGGAATCAAATGAAATGCACATCAATGATAGACTAAATAAAGAAAATGTGGTACATATACATTATGGATTAATATTCAGCCATAAAAGAAATAAGACTATGTCTTTTGCAGGGACATGGATGGAGCTGGAAGCCATTATCCTCAGCAAACTAACACAGGAACAGAAAACCAAACACTGCATGTTCTCACTTATAAGTGGGAGCTGAATGATGAGAACACAAGGACACGTGGAGGGAAATAACACACACTGGGGCCTGTTGGAGAATGGGAGTAGGAGGAGGGAACGCATGAGGAAGAGTATCTAATGCATGCTGGGCTTAATACCTAGGTGATAGGATGATTTGTGCAGCAAACCACCATGGCACGTGTTTACCTATGTGACAAACCTGAACATCCTGTACATGTGCCCCAGAAGTTAAGAGAAGTTGAAGAAAAAAAGGAAAAAATACATGATTTTTACTGAATGTGTTTATAATTTGTCAATTGAGTTCTAAAGAAAAGAACCCAGAGGGGGTCATTAATGTATTAATAGGAACTTTAAGAATGAAATCTGACTGTAATCCAATCTTTAATGCTTCTAAATATAATTTGATATTGCCCACAATTCAATACATTTATTAAACAAATGGACCCGCCAATAAATCTTAATCTTGAAGGACAAACAGCTCTGCAGCTCACAAAAAGAAATATTTAAAGACTTCTACTTTTGACTATATTCCAAACACAGGCTTTATACATTTTACTATATTACTTTACAATGATATGTTAGCATTCCTATGCTGCATCCCAGTCAAGGTTTTGAAGTGAAAACCTGAGAGAATCCGCAACGATCAACACAAGGTCATTGTGAGCATACAAAGCATCTTCTACCCTCCAATTCCTAAACACAATTTGGAAACCTTTGAAACAAAGAAAGAGGTGCTAGAATCCAAGAAAAACTAATTCTTCAGATTATCATTTCAAAAATAAGATCTTTACAGATGAGAAATAACTCAGCTCAGATGCCATGCTACTAAAAACAGTAAAGAGATTTTAATTTATTCCTGTGGGATAGAGTGTAGGGAAAATCAGGTGAGAGGTAATTCTTTTTTAATTTATTTTATTTTATTTTATTATTATACTTTAAGTTTTAGGGTACATGTGCACAATGTGCAGGTTAGTTACATATGTATACATGTGCCATGCTGGTGTGCTGCACCCATTAACTCTTCATTTAGCATTAGGTATATCTCCTAATGCTATCCCTCCCCCCTCCCGCCACCCCACAACAGTCCCCAGAGTGTGATGTTCCCCTTTCTGTGTCCATGTGTTCTCATTGTTCAATTCCCACCTATGAGTGAGAACATGCGGTGTTTGATTTTTTGTCCTTGCGATAGTTTACTGAGAATGACGATTTCCAGTTTCATCCATGTCCCTACAAAGGACATGAACTCATCATTTTTTATGGCTGCATAGTATTCCATGGTGTATATGTGCCACATTTTCTTAATCCAGTCTATCATTGTTGGACACTTGGGTTGGTTCCAAGTCTTTGCTATTGTGAATAGTGCCACAATAAACATTCTGTTAATCTGCTACCTGCAGATTCTTTCCAGTCCTGAGGAACTTTGATGACAAAATCCTTTAAAAGAAGATGAGGAGTGGATTCTAATCTTTTCCCGTGCTAGGGTAAGACACAGTGAGAGACTGTACTACAATTGGATGAGAAAATTAAAGAAAACTTTAAGTTAAAAATTTTAAATTAAAGGAAAATTAAAGTTTTCTTAAATTTTCTCAATATGACAACTTCTAGCAGAGAATTCAATTAAAAAATAAATTTCTGATTTACATTGAGGAAGATCTTGAGATAAGAAATTGACAATGCCTCTTTTCACAATCATATTTTTTAAGGTCCATCCTAGGCCAACTCAAAAACAAATTTTTGGGGGGTCTCTTAATCTACTCCTTCAATGCTTTTTTATAGGACTCTTTGTGTTGCATAGTGCTCTGTGTGTTGTTACTCTAAATAGTAGTATAACATTAGTCTACACAAGGATACTGTCATTCTATTAGATCTTGAAGACCTCCCCAGTCAAGAATGAGAGAGATATGTTTGGAAAAGAGATCAGTCTTTCTAATAGTCACCATTTATTGTGTGCTTGGTTCCAGGGATTACATTGGGTATCTTATTTTTAAATAACTTTTTTCTTCTCTTTATCATCTTGTAAACATTGGGTATCTTACATCATCTTTAAAATTCTCACCAAAATCTAAAAGTTTTCCATTTCCATTTTAAAGAGAATTGAGATATAGGAAAGTTTAACTTCTTTTTCTCTGAGACACAACTAGAAAATATTAAAGGTGGAATAGGAACCAATGCCTGTCTTATATCTTTTATTTATATCTTTATCTTATATCCAAAACTCTATATCTTTTATTGCATTTGTCTCCCTTTTGTGTTGTACTTCACTGCATATCACTTCCATCTACAAGGTAAAACCAATTTTCTCCAACTCAAGGTTGAGTGTTCACTATTCGGGACTCAGAAAGAGGATGAAAGTACAATAAGGCAGATAACTATAGGCTGTTAATTTGTAGCTCAAGGACCAACAATCCTTCCTATCTCTTACAATGTCAGTTCTAAATTCTAGAATTATCCCAAGTCTCAAGACCTGCAGCTTGGTGCCACTCTATTCATCCAACCTGTTTGGATTCTCCACTCAGGCCAGTTTCTTCATGTCTTTCCATGATCCAAGGTATGTTTATTTGTATAGTCAAAACTCATGCTGCTTTTCCTATTTATTCTCCTTCGGTTCCCAGTTTCTAGCTTATTCACATTCTACTCAACTTTTGGGGACAACTCTAACTCCCAATCCTTTTCAAAGCCTTTTCCAACACTTACAGACTATTCTGACCTCTTTTTCTGCTTCTGAAAAAGTCCTTGGCAGCTATGCTATTTTTCATTATTTTCCAAATTGTTTGTGTCTTGTCTTCCCAAGGAAATAGCAAGTAAGAAGCAAACAAAATGCTAGATCACTTGTTCTCAATAAATACCAACTATGCAAATAGTTGAGCTGTTTAAGCATGAGATATATCTGAGACATTGTGGAGCAAAACCTAACAAAAATCACCCTTCAGCCAATCCCATCTCATACCTTAAATGCATCAGGGTCAGGGAGGCATTTTTCTATAAGCCTTTCCCATCTAACTTAAAGAACCTTATACGTGCATGTGGTGAGCTCTTTAGAACATTCTGGAATTTATTCTCAATAAGAGCAGTTCTCTGAATATTTGTGGTATTACTCCAGCTATTTGTACAATCACTGCAAAGTTCTTGATGATTATATCTAAGACACACATTACAATTTCTTAGCTTTGGGAACCTCGAGTAAAGAAAGAAACCAAAAAGCTTTTTTAAAAATGTAATATATACCATGAGGAGAAGGCTTGTGGTTTTTTTTTGTTTTGTTTTGTTTTTGTTTTTACTGTCCTCTTGAATACACTTGGTGAATATATCACTTCAAACAAGATTCCAATGAGCAACAAAGTTAATGTCAGCCTGGAACTTTGAAGAACTAGCAGAGCATTTGCAGTTAAATGTCTACCTCTAGAATAAAGCCCAATGGAAGAAACTCCAGTGAGTCACTACCTGAGGTATAGCCTAGATTTTATAATGGGCACAAACTCATAGACAAATATTTCTGATCTGCTGGCAAGACTGTTGACGTTTTAAATTTACTTCATTTAAGTATCATATGACTACTGGAAGCTTTAAGCCCAGTACTTTATTTCTTTTTCTTTCAACCCAATCACTGTTTCTTGCATTTGCTCTCTCATGCACTATGCACAAGATCCACAAGTCTGTGCTATGTGGAAAATCTGAAGTGAAGGAGAGCTAACTCACACAAATTTATATCACCTGCTTTTCTTTCAACTTTCTCCACTTTACCTAGAAAGATAACAGAATAGAAGGCATAAATAACTGTGGGTTTTACAACCATAAGCGTTCTCTCTTACCCCTTTGCCTAGAGAAACTATGTGGTCCCTGTATCTGTTTGTGGCTTCCATCATGCAAGGCTATTAGAGGTGCCACCATGATTGAAGCATATTGCAGAAGGCCTGGCTCTGGAGAGAGTAGGCAGGTCCTGAATGAGCAGTAGATACATTCATTTTTAAAATTCTATGGGATTTCTCTCAGTGATTATACCAATGCCTGGTATACAATAGGCACTTAGCAAATGCTGGTTAAGCTGATGCTATGGCTAGGATTCTGGAAGAAAATTTATTTTTAAGACATTACTTAGAAGAAAACATCTTGTATTTATACCTAGATTTTGCTGGGAGAGATCTGAAATGGCTTTTAAAACTATCAGATATATGCCTGTAGACTCTGGTTTTGGGGGCTGCAATAATTGTTCATATTTGCATAGTAGACATGATTTAATCAATTTGTCTAAAATATACCAAAGCAACAATAACACTTGCAGAGTTAAGGATCTAGGTTAACATTATCATAGTTCTTCAACTGATGTCATGAAAAGTTCAGTGGAGAGGTCTTTGGCAATAGTTATCCTCGCTCAGAAACATTGAGACAGAACATTAAGACGATACCTAAAATACTATGCTAGTTCCCCTGGTTTGCACTTTGTTAACTGCGAGTACTTTCCTCTTTTGTTTCCCACAAAAATTTAATATTTTCTATTATAAATAAAAAAAAATGTAGCGACTCAATTTTAAAGAGACATTAGATTAGGTGGAAATGTTTAGATGAATCTGGACACAAGTTTCCCTGGCAATGGCTTTACCTCTCTACTTACTAAATAGCAAACAGTCAGACTGAAGTAGTTCTCAAATGTCATATTTTGTTATGTTTATCAAATAAATGGGCTCCAGGGTCCTACAGTAAGTTGTAACCAGGAGACACCTGGCTCTATCTTGACTTGAGGCCAGTAGAGCATATTGGGGCTGTTCCACTGCTATTGTCTGATCTTCATTTTCTCTTTGTATCAAAGAAGGTGTTTCACCACCTGCTCTGTTCCACACACAAAAAAGGGAAACTGCCACAATTCCTTCAAAAAATTGTTACTCTACCAAAGGCCTACAGAAAAGCCTGGATTAAAATGAGGTTGGTAATTTGGTACCTTTTTTTATCCTGCTTTCAATATTCTCAGATGTTTAAATCACTGACTTTGTTTCTCCCATAACACTAGCACAACCTCACTTTAACCCCAGTTTGATTCTGGCTCAATAGTTAATGTCTGACTTGCTTTCAAAATTTCAAAGACCATAGTGAGCTACTAGCATGGGAAGAAGAGAATTAAAGTGTCTGACTTGCATCTTAAAGGAGTCTGAAAAGCAGATATATACATAAGCTTTTAAGTTGACAAGTTTTATTTCAAGACTCTTGTTAAATTCTCTTTGTACCCTTATGTGCTTCATCCAAAAGAGAATCAAAGAATGCATGGAGAATACAGTTACCACCTTTGGTAACTCACCTTGCTCTTCCAGCTATTTGTCTGGTGAACTTCTGATAACCAGCTTCTCTAAGTTGGGTCTGGAACAACACATCATCTTGAGAAAATATTTACTCATGTTCTGAACATTAAAGATACTGCTTTATGCTGCATGACAATACTGGGTGGTCTAAAATTTGAGTAGAGTATCTTGTACACTTAGGATGTTAGTGTTCTGAAGAAAAAACTTGTTTATGTTAGTGACATTGAAACACTATGAAAGATTTTTCCAGGACTTTTTAAAAATAAAAGTCATCTGTTCTGTTCTAGAGTTTTTGATAATATAAATATCACTTTATCAGTCAGAAGTCATTACTGATAACATAGTCAATCTATTTACTGAGTAGATTCAATCTTCATATTTCTTATTGCTTAGAAATTGCATCATTCATTCCTTTGGTGCTTAAAGAGCACAGTAACTTTCATCCTTCACTCTTATTTTTAAGATATAGGTCACAAGAAGATGAGATCAACTTTGAAGCCATAAGTTTTGTCAAACTTTATTTTCAAACACCCACCAAGCAGAACACCTAAAATTAAATTCTAAGTGTCATTTATGAAGAAGGAGTAAATTTTTCTCTCCACTGGCATAATTAAGGTACATGAATCATTTTTAATAGTACTTTTCCAAAGGTCTAAATGAACTTGTCCACTCTTTGGATCTTCCCCTTAGTTAAAAATATGACTGTTATTAAAAACAGATTCTAATCCTTATACCTTTATTACTTAGATGTCCACACAAAGCAAATGATAGATGGATCTATATACTGTCTTCATAAAATCCTTCCTGAGAGCATTTTTACTGATTACTAAACATTATAACACTAGAAAAAATAATTTAAGCAAAAATTTATAAATATAACAGAATTTTCGATATTATTATTGAACTCAGAAAGGGTTTCATCTTGATCTAATTTATTCCAAATTAATATATATGAATGAAAGTGTTAAATAAAAATACTTGGGAGAAGTACCCAAGATTAAATAAATCTTGTAACAATCTGTATTTGCATTACATACAATGTACTACTTGTAGTCTTTTGTTGTTTTTTGGGTTTTTCATTTTTGCCCTTTTAGATTAGTCTTTTTTTTACAATATTCTAAAGTTAATTAAAAATAATTAGCCAGTATTTTGTATTACACAGGTTCATGTCAAAATTAGAACACACGCATTTTAGTGGGACCTCACTGTATAACTTTTGATAATGCATAATATTCAATAGAAGGCAGTGCTAAATTGAATCGCACCCAAGAGGGGCCTCAGTTACTAAAATATATTGGAGACCTCATTATAAGCCTATTTTCCCTTAAAGTAATCCCACATCCCAGAACTTCTTAACATCCCTACATAGCAAGATGCTCTTCTTTACAGAACATCCTTCTGAGCTTTGTGACCAAGATGTCCGATTTAAAACTTAAACACTAGATAGAAAGCAGATTTGATTTTCTTCCCAATGGGAGATGAGAGAAAGCCATCAGTATGGGCAGACACATTGGATTGTCCAGTGTGATTGTGGGGGGTGAGGAAGTCGCAGGAGGTGTTCAGTGAGGTCATGGTATAGGGGAAATATGAATTGATAACCTCTAATAAAATGACCAATGCCCTACTTTCATAGATGTTTGAATCTTGTGTTTTTGTATCGACTCTTCGAAGAGCTAATAAGTGCATATTTCCCCCAGAGTTACATTTCAATAACCAAAAGCATCTTTTTAACTTTTGACATCTAAGTTGGCGAGCCTTTTTATTGATATTTAAACGTTTTAACACCAAGATCAACTTTCTAGATGTCTCCATGTCTACTCATGCTATAATTTTAAGGAACCAGGGACTTGTTCTTCCCTTACTCATATTGTTTTGCACTTCAATATCAAGACGAACCTTTGCCAGAAGGTACAACTCTTTAGTATCATCATTAGAGATATGGAAAACAGACACCTCTGGCAGAGCAAACGCATTGGTAAAACTGAAGAAAGGAGCATTTTTTCCAGATAGTTTTTGAAACGAGAGAGCATGAGGGTAATGAGTGCTTAAAGTGGAGTATTGATCACATAAAACAGGGAGGAGATATAGGAGAGAGAGATTGAGTATAACATTTAAGCGGCACAAACAGGCCTAAAAACAGTAAGCGATAAATGTTATTCCTAGTGCCTTTAGCTTTGCCAAAGCTGGCGTAACTCTATGTCCTAAAAGCTGTTTATAAGGATTAAAGACTATCTTCAATTAATTAATATTTTTGAAGAACTCGTTTGAACCGGGGGCTACTGAGGACTTAGAAGCAAAAGCACATTCTCTGATCTTGAGGATTTTAAAATCTTGTTGGAAGAGATCTGAATGACACAAATCAAAAAATAGCAATAGAATGTTAGTCACTCTGCTCTACACAGAGAACACAGTTACCCGCTTTCTGCCTCCACTAACTCTCACTTAACTGCCTCTGAATCTGTGATCAAACACAGTGACCCATATATGCTAATCATATAAAATGTATTTGTAAGGAAATAACAAGTGTAGATAGTATTAAAGCAGGTTCTAAGATGCCTAATTTTTAAAATTAAACATTGTAGATGAAATATGAATACAGGCATACCTCAGAGATATTGCAGGTTTGGTTTCTAGACCACTTCAACAATGCAAATATCACAATAATGCAAGTCACACATTTTTTGTTTCCCAGTACATGAGTTGTATTTACATTATATGTTAGTCTATTAAGTATGTTACAGCATTATGTCTAAAAATCCAATGTACCTTCCTTAACTAAAAATATTCTTTTGCTAAAATATGCTAACTAGTAATCATCTGAGCTTTCTGTATTATTATCATTATTTTTACTTTTTTCTTGGCTGATGTGCGTCTTCTGGGACTCAGAAGAAATGGTAGGCTCCCCAATGAAGAGTAAAAGTAGGATTTATACATTCTATAACTCCAGGTCAAATTTGAAAGTTGGTGGGGTGAAATATTTCCATTACCCTGTGGGTATCTAGCCCTCTGCTTATGGGATCCTGCAAGTTATAATCTTAATTTTTGTTGCAAGTGGTCTGACATTCAATAGCAGGCAGCCTAGGTACCTATAACTCATTAATCCTTTTTAACAGACAACGCCAAAAGCATGCAACACTCTTAAGTTTCAAGTGTAACATTTACACCAAAATTAAAATTGCAATATTATAATCAAGTTGTACCAGCAAGCTTTGTATATAAGGATTTCTGACTGTCAATTCTTTAGGGCTGGTCAGGAGACCAAAGAAAGTCAGTCTTATTACAAAGTGACATTTACTTAGGGAGTTTCAGACATCATGAAGAGGACTATCTTCCAAAAACGTTGTGATTTTTCCATAGTAGATTCAGAAAGGTTTACTCTGATAATTTCAGCCTTATCAACAGATTTGAGTCACTTGCGTGACTAGAATCATTATACAGAAAAGTATTTGACAAGATCCCTCCTTACTCCCTTCAAACAAGAAAAAAAAAAAAAAAGC
This sequence comes from Homo sapiens, assembly GCF_000001405.40. Classification (NCBI taxonomy): domain Eukaryota; kingdom Metazoa; phylum Chordata; class Mammalia; order Primates; family Hominidae; genus Homo; species Homo sapiens. The sequence continues at coordinate 86,696,923 of NC_000005.10, read as the reverse complement.
TTCATCTAAATCCTCCAAATGATCATTTCATTGGTGATACACACAAATACTGCAAACCATTTGTACCTATAACTGGGCTTAAATCAGAGAGCAGTTAGATAAAGAAATAAAAATTTAAAACATTCATTCAAAAGAGTTAATTGAAACTAAATGAAATTGTTTTGTTTTGTTGTTGTTGTTTCTTTGCTTAAGCAATTATATAATTGTCCCCCTCTAGTATTAAGAAAAAAAAGACAAACAAGTTAATTTATTGGTTTACAAAATTGAAATTACTTGGTTCAAAGAATTACAAACTCCTGACCACATTCAAAGAATTACAAACTCCTGACCACAAGCAGCTATCATTTCATGGAAGGAAAATCAGGAACTGAAGTGCTAGCAGTGTTACATAGTAATCAAGCAACAAACTTTCTTGGCATTAGTGAATTACTACTACAGAGCATTAATTTCATGCTTGTCTACTCCAGTAAACTATGAATGCTTGCAGAAATTTAGGAAACAATAGTTAGAATAGAGTCAGAAAGCTCCTTAAAAATAGAGAAAAATGAAGTAATTGAAAGCACTTAATACAATTAAAATTTTTTATCTTAACCATGTTTGCAAACATCATGAGTATATCTAGGGTCTTATTTTTTGGAGAAATTGTTAATAAGTCTATTGCACATGAATCATGCATATTAAAAATGATTTAAAAGTTATGAGAAGAGATACCTTTATTTAAGTTGAAATTTGGAAGGTTAGGAGTCAGTGAGGAGCCAGTTAGGAGCCAGTTTCATTCTTAATTCCCCAACCTAAGGTTTTAAATTTTATTTTACATTAAAGTGGTTAAAACTGAGGAATATGGAAAAATGCAGCAAGATACAAACTCATAAATTTGGGGTTTCACTTCACAAATTAATTGTTTCTTCTCTGATTTTACTTATTTATTCATAATGACCTTTCCTATTTTTTTTTTATTTAGATTCATTGGTTTGGTCTGTAATGTAGCACTGATGATCCAGGAATGTTTTATGCTCTAATAAACTGCTTACAGAGGTACAAGCACTTGTCTGAAGTCACTTTAACTTTGTGTCTGCATGCCCTCAGGGATACTGTCATTTGTTTTGATGTCCCATGTGTGAACAAAAACACCTCGCACAATGGCATTTATATGTGCATGGAAATTTTCAGCAGTTATTCTTCTGCCTTTGCCATTGACTCATTTGTAAATCACTTTCAAATATACCCTCTATTCCGCACTAAAATGACTTTATCCTCAACTCCTGAAGAGAGTTTCATGACACAAAGTTGTCATCTTATGGTTCATTATTTTTGTGGAAGTACTTGAGCCATATATATCTGAAGAGAAGACACCAGTGGGTTGTGTGTGCACATGCTCTTAGCTCTCTTGATCTTACATGTATTCTTATTTCCCATCTCTCTTGATTAAAGGGGGAAAAAAGAAGGAATTGTGAATATTCTTATAATTGCATGAAATATGTAAGACCTATTCAGATATGTCAAGGACGTGTGCTTATCTGAGACAAAAGGGCACACTTCTGGTCATTGCCATCTGTAAATATGTATATATTTAGATCTGGAAAAGTCAATATAATCTATTTTGTCTTCTTCTCTAGAACAGGTAGAGATGTTTGGGAGGGAGTGGGGATTGCAGAGCTACCAGTCTGGTTCAAGCCCATACATTTGCCCAATGTCCCATACTGAACTGATCTGCCTTGTATTTGAACTTCATGTTTCAGAAACATAATGATGAATAGTCTTATCATAACTTCTTTATGAAAACATGAAAAACAGATAAAAGCCCTCAGTCGGTAAAATGGAATTTTTTAGCAGTACATTTTCTATAATAGTTAAACACTCCTAATCTGAAAATCTGAAATCTTAAGTGTGCTAAAATCCAAAACTTTTTGTGTTGACATGATGCTGCAAGTAGAAAATTCCATAACTGACCTCTTATGATGGGTTGCCATCAACATGCAGGTGCACAACATACAGTTTATTCGATGTTCCTGAGGGAAAAGACCCTTGGTAAACCTTTTCAGTTACAATATATCTTCCCTGAGCACACCCAGATTCTTCCATGCAAGCACATCCACAAAGAGTAATAAGATGGCAAGTGTGTAGGCCGAATGTGCCAACAACAGGTTTCTGATGCCCCACATGGGGCCAAGACCTATGTGGATTACCCATGATGATTTTTGCTTATTCTGTGCTGTGGTGTAAAGATGTTGTTGAAAATGCCAAAGAGGCCTGCAGATACCTCTATGGGTAACAGTGATGAGAAAAGGAAGCATTTATGTTCATCTACAGCACAGAAAGCTAAGCTGTTAGAGAAACTAGACTGCAGTGTAAGTGTGAAACATATTACAGGAGAGTATGGTGTTAGAATGAACACCATGTGTGACCTGAAGAAATGGAAGGACAAACTGTTGAAGTTCTATGCTGAAAGTGATGCATAGAAGTTATTGAAGAACAGAAAAACACTGCATAAAGCTAAAAATGAAGATCTTGACCATGTACTGAAAGAATGTATCTGTCAGCCTAAGTGAACACATGTCACTAATGATATGCTGATCATAAAACAAGCAAAGGTTTATCATGATGAACTAAAAATTGAAGGGAACTGTGAGTAGTCAGCAGGCTGGTTACAAAAATTTTAGAAAAGACAGGGCCTTAAATTTTTTAAGATTTGTGGCGATAAAGCATCTGCTGACCACAAAGCAACCGTGAAATTCATTAAGTGGTTTGCCAAGGTAATTGCATATGAAAATCTGATGTCAGAACAAGTCAATACTGCTGATAAAACATCACTGTTTCGGCATTACTGCCCCAGAAAGACACTCACTACAGCTGATGAAACAGCCCCTACAGGAATTAAGGTTGCCAAAGACAGGATAACTGTGCTGGGATGTGCTAATGCAGCAGGCACACATAAGTGTAAACTTGCTGTGATAATCAAAAGCTTGTGACTTAAGTTTTCAAGGCATGAATTTCTTACCAGTCCGTTATTATGATAACGAAAAGGAATGGATCCCCAGGAACATCTTTTCTGACTGGTTTCACAAACGTCTGTGAGCAGCTTGTGCTCATTGCAGGGAAGCAGGATGGAATGACCAGTGCAATATTTTGTTATTCCTTGGCAACTGTTCTGCTCATCTTTCAGCTGAAATTCTCGTCAAAAATATGTTTATGCTATGCAATATCCCCCAAATGTGACTTCAAAAATTCAGCCATTTGACTAGGGTATCCTTAGATTAGTGAGGAATAAATATAAAAATACTTTCTTGAACAGCATGCTAGCAGCAGTGAACAGAGGCATGGGTGAGGAAGGTTTTCAAAAAGGATCACATAAACATAAAACAGCCGAGATAGTTCTGAATCAAGTTGATTGTGATAATAGTGATGATGAAGATACCATTGTTAACACTGCAGAAAAAGTGACTATAGACGACATGCCAGAAATATGTGATTGGCTTATTGAAGGACTAGAGCAGTGTGATGAAATCATATCCATTTATAAAATTGAAGAGAGAATTCCAAGACAAAATGTTAATGAGGCTGCCCATCATTAATGAGGCAGATGACTCAAAAAACATTTTAAAGAGCCACCCAGCAGAATTCCTCCTTATCTTAGAGGACCTGCTTCCTGGTCTCTCAATGGCCTCCGATGTTTCTTCTCACCTAAAAAAAAAAATACAGTGTACAGGCCGGGCGTGGTGGCTCACGCCTGTAATCCCAGCACTTTGGGAGGCTGAGGCGGGCGGATCACAAGGTCAGGAGATCGAGACCATCCTGGCTAACACAGTGAAACCCCGTCTTTACTAAAAATACAAAAAATTAGCTGGGCGTGTCGGCGTGCGCCTGTAGTTCCAGTTGCTGGGGAGGCTGCGGCAGGAGAATGGCGTGAACCCGGGAGGCGGAGCTTGCAGTGAGCCGAGATCGTGCCACTGCACTCCAGCCTAGGCAACAGAGCGATACTGCATCGCAAACAACAACAACAACAAAAAAAAAAAAACAAAAAAATACAGTATGGGGAGGCTGAGGCAGGAGAATGGCGTGAACTCGGGAGGCGGAGCTTGCTGTGAGCCGAGATCACTCCAGCCTGGGCGATAGAGCGAGACTCCATCTCAAAAAAAAAAAAAAAAAAAAAAAAAAAATACAGTGTACAAGGGGAGGCTGAGGCAGGAGAATGGCGTGAACTCGGGAGGCGGAGCTTGCTGTGAGCCGAGATCACTCCAGCCTGGGCGACAGAGCGAGACTCCATCTCAAAAAAAAAAAAAAATACAGTGTACATAACCTTTTCATAAAACACAGCATCATAGCTGGAGACTGAAAGCCTGCTGTTGTGTGTTTTTGCTGAAGTTTAACAGCTGATCCAAGTATTCTGGTGATGTTACTGTGCTGCTTAGTTACCATGAATGCATGATCTTTTCACTGTATCAATGGTATGTCATCCTTTTTCCTGTTAAATACTTATGTGTGAATAAGTATAAGGAAATAGTTGCTTAGCAGTATTATATATTTTCAGAGTCACAAATGATGGTGTTGCCAAACAATCACAGGCTGGCTACATGGATGACTGAGATAGTGAACACTTTTGCTTTCTGAGGTTCAGTGTACACAATTAGTTTCATGCACAGAATTAATTAAAAATTGTATTAAGTTACTTTCAGGTTATATGTATAAGATATATGTGAAACATAAGTGCATTTCATGTTGAGACTTGGGTCCCATCCCAAGATAGCTTATTATATATATGCAAATATTCCAAAATCCAAAAAATCTGAAATCTGAAGCATTTCTGGTCCAAAGCGTTTCAGATAAAGGATGTTTAACCTGTATAATGCTGATAAATTTTCACCAGTTGAACAATTAGCTAAAATAATATGCTAATCCTATCAGGGCCAAGAAAGTGACTCAGTCAAAAAATTTCTTATTCCTCTGTAAACCAGAATGTGTGCCCAATAAAAAGGAACATAGAGACCAGTCATGGTACAGAAGTCAAGAGGGAAGCTTGAGAAAAGATCTCCCCAAGGAGCAAAGGAGTGTGGTAGCATGCAGAGCCTGAGAGTCAGCATACCAGGGAGAAGCAGGGGAGATGGTCAGAGGCAAAGTGGTTCAGGGTTAATACCAAGACTGCTACCCACATTAAAGTGTTCTGTGCTACTTTTGGTAAGGTGCATGTGAAGACTGGCTGAGCTGAAATGACCAGAGGTAGGGTTGAGAACTAAGACGATTTGGCTTTGTCCCAAAGAAGTTTTGAATGAGGATTAACTTATCTCCCTGCTTTGTCTCAAACTAGTCTTCCATGTGTCCAGACCTTCATCAACTGAACTCTGCTAATAAATGAGCTTAAATATAATCTGTTTTGAAATGTCTAGGAATGCCTAGATCTTGATTTTTAGGTGTTTCATTCAATACCTTGCATGAAAAACTGACTTGAGGGAAACTCCAAGACTCGAGATACAGAATTCTCTTATTCTTATAGCTAGCCTCAGGCAACCTAAACCCTTCAGTGTTCATTGTGTAGTACAAGACAATTTATAGATATAACCTAGGCCTTTGAATTTAAGATTAAAGAAAGTACAGGAGTCTTTGGATTCTTAACACCTTGTCAATGTATGAGTTTGAGAAAATCTCTGAAAAATGTTTTAAGCCCTATATCTTGAATACCTTTAACAAAAAATCTTATTTTAATATTTTATGCTAGTTTTATGCTAGTCACTATGATATCCAATATAAACCCATTTCTGACAGTCTACCAATTACCAAAGCCTTGTCAATTATGATTCTGAAAACAAAAGCACTTGTAGGTACCTCTAGAGTAAGAGCTTCCTAATTAGAATTCTAATAAACCATTTCATATTAAGCTAACTCTAAATATCACACACAAAACATCCCATTGTATACACTGAGGTGTTTTCAAGAAAGTTATAAACATGTAAAAGATAAATTTGACAAAATTACCTAAAAATTACTATTTATCTTTCCTACATTAAGCTAACATTTTTTGTAAACAAAACAACAACAAAAAACAACCTCACCTGTTGAAACTTGTCATATTATTTAAGATCTGCTATGTAAAATAGTATTTTTTTAATAGCATAAAACTTGTAACCCTGAAATTCCAGCGATTCTGGAACGTTTATTCGAACTATAGTGTTTATAAATTTAAAACTTAGATTTCTCTTTAACTACCCCAGATGGAATCAAGTTATTTCTCACGTGGAAACTTCTATTCTTAGAGAAGTTAGTTTATTACAGATTTCCAGGCCCCATCTCCTGAGATTCATAATTAATTGGTTTTGGGGTAGGATCCAGATACTGCTTTTTCTTCCCCAGGTGAATCTATTCTGCAATCAAGGTTGAGAAATCTGGCATCAGTGGTGTTTAGAAATCTGGTGAAGGCAAAAACCATATACCTTTTAAATTTTCAAATTGTAATAGATAAAAAAACTAATACACTTTTGGTTAAAATTCTAGATTCTAAGATCATAGCCACAAACATTCTTGATAAACAGGTCTCAAATGTCACCAAATAATCAGTATTTTTAACTGATGGCCCCTGTGGTTCTAATACAGGAGGTATCAAGAAGGACAGTATAAAGTCCATAGTTTGAAAAGCAAATTCCTGCAATATTTAGTAAAGAGTACTATGAGTCACAAGGGCCCAATATAGATCTGTAAAATGGAATATTGGGAGATATGATCATAATTTTGATGAATGATTCCATAGGTTTTTACAAGCTCAACTGTTTGGCTAGGACACTGGCCAAGTGGCCTATGTGTGAGATTGAAGAGAATTTCTGTGGGATTAAGGGCAACAACACAAGCTCTTAACTGAGGCAGTGGAGCAGGCCATATACCACAGGAATATGGTCAATAAATACAGTGGACATCTGATGTTTTATACAACTAGCTTTTTATTTCCTATTCCAGTGGCTAGCTAGGTTTAGTCCTTGGGCCAGCAACAGGAGAAATCACTCAGACACTTACTAAAAATGCAAATTATTAGGCCCCATTCCAAATCTACTAAATCAGAAACTCTATGGGTAGGGCCCAGCAATCTGTGTTTTAACAAGTGTGATTCTAATGCATAAAAAAACTTGAGAATCATCATCCTATTCCTTCAATATACGCTAGCTGATTTTCCTGCAGTGAACCATCCTTCTTGCAAACTTAGTTTAGGTCTTCTGAATGTGGTGATCCCACCTCATCCTTAATCTTAGGGTGGGCATATAAGCCAGTATGGAAAAAGAGGCTAAATTCCAAGTCTTAACACAGCAAAAAGCAGGAACTGTTTTCAGTAATGGGGCTGAAAATAAAGGTCAACCCATAGGAAAACAAAGGCCAGTGATGAAGAGAGGCCAGAGACATAGTCTGAGCCCCTGATCTAAGCTGTGTGTGAAACCTGCACTTTCAGTTACATGAGCTAATAAAAGTTTTATTAACCAAGTCTGAGTTGGGTTTCTGTAACTTGCAATCAAAAGTTTGACAAATACAAACATAATCCATTAGGGAAAGCAGGCTGCAAGGACTGAAACCCAAAAGACAAGCTGGTAAAAGATTTCAGTGTAGCCAAAGTGTTAAGGGTTAGGGCTGAGCAGATGCAGAATCTGAAACTGGGATAATGAAGGGAGGTCTCGGGGCTTCAGCTGCAGTCTGATTAAGTACTTAGATTCTTAGTGTTTGTGTGGGTCAGATTGGCTCAAAGGGCCAGAAGAGGGAAGACAATTACTGTTGTGCCTTCCCATAAAGCTTAAGAATCTTAACACATACACTCTAACATCCCACAAAACTTTAAGAATCTTCCTGTGTTTGCTGTGAGAGATGCAATGCCAGGAGAGCAGAACCCTGGCCTAATGAAAAATGTGGTTTCTCTTTTTAACAATCATAAATTATTTTGTGTGTAGTAGGGATATTATTTCTGTGTCATGTTGCCTGTGGGAATCTATAAACAAAATATAATCAATAAAAATAATTGACATTTTTGGTACATCAGATGCAATTGCAGTCCAACTGCACAATCATGGTAGCCTCTGCATTGAGAAGCCTATGGTTTTAATTATTTGATAAAAAACCAATTTAACCTGTGTCAGGTGGTTACTATATAACTGTTGAAACAACAGACACAAATCTCAAAAATATGGGTCCTTTAGATAGTAGCAGCTAATAAAAGTTTCTGAAAAATCTGGTGTCAGTGATGCTCATCAGGAAGCATTTCAAGTCCTTCAGGGTCTTGAATTTCACTAGCATTTCAAGGGTCTTCATTAGGCATTTTCACTAGCTAGAATCATCTTTTAATGGTTAACCACTGAGTTAACCGTTAACACAAAGTCATTCAAAGTGTTTTCTTTCTCTTGAAATGTGCTTTTGACTGAAGAGGGTTTTACATCATTTATTACTAAGGATTATATTATTTTACCCACAGTTTTATTCGGATAAATTATTCCAAATACACTGTATTTTCAGGGAAGAGTAGATAGCTTTAGGATTATGTAAGCTTCTCTTTTGGCCCCTTCAATGTTACAGCCTGTTACTTTAAAGCCTTTTTCTTTTTTTTAACAATATACAACATTGAGAAGATTTGTGAACAACACATTTAAAAGTACCAACAACTAATGTTTACAGAGCATTTATGTGCCAAACATTTTATAGGCATTATCTAATTTGTGTTGATGGCAATCTTGTAGGGGTATGTATAATTTTATACATGAGGAAACTGAAATGGAAAGAGGCTAAGTAGCTTTCATAGGGGAATAGCTGGGATTTGAACTCAGATTTGAGAGCTCATGCTTTTTATGATACTGCTTAATAAAATTATATAGACTCTTTATGCTTTCCTGAACATACAAACTTTGCATACATAGAAATATAATTTGACTGTAAGACACATGAAGGAAGAGATCATGACCTGTTTTACTAATAATTTACTAGTACCTAACAAGTATAACCATGTTTGTCACATAGAAGGCAACAGAAAAATTATTTACAAACAAATAAAAGTTATGAGTAGGATTGTATGGTGATACCAAGCATACAGCCGATTTTACAGGATAGACCTCAACATTATTAGATAATTTTATGGCATATTTTCCAGAGGTATGATTTGATATACACGGAAAATTTCATAACATTTCATTTGATATTTGCTTAGTAAGTTACTCTGACCACAGACACATTGAAGGATTTTTTCCCCTGATAATCTAACCTCTTGGGAACATCGAAAAGCTACTGAACTATAACTTGGAAGTTATTTATCCGGAACTTCTATTCATTGTTGAAATCTTATCTATAGCAGTCTTCTTGACATTTGGCCTCTGTAGAACATTTCAAGTGACAGGGAGACCATTATTACGTATGGCAAGCCACTCCATTTTTGAACTTTAATTGTATAGAAAGTTCTATCTTATAGTTAGTTGAAACCTCCTTCCTTGCAACTTCTTCCCATTGTTCTCAGTTTTGTCCTTGAGAGCTACTCAGAGTGACTGGCTGGACAAATGTCTACATGACAGTTTGTCAAATATTTGAAGGCAGGAATCATATCCCTCTAGGTTTTTTGTGCTCCAGGCTAAAAATCCCCAATTCCCTCAGATATTTTTCATGCTGCATGGTTTTAGCATTCTAGTGGCCAGTTTGTCTTTAAAAATCATCCTTTGACAGGCATCTATTTACCATGAAGCTAAGAGCTCCAGGGCTTCACTTAACACGGGCCCCTTCCACAGTCTTAGGAGGGGATGGAGCAACATGTTTCCATAGGAATATGTTTGGTAAAACTTGCAAAAGGAAAATATTGAGATATCAGTGGGTTAAGACTCCTCTTTTAGGTGATAATGCCAGATGGCTTTGTGTTAGCCACAGGCATTTTTGGACTTGGCTAGTTTGGGATCTCTTTTAGGGGTTTAGTGGGATGTAACTGCGGTTTTTAGTTACTTCTGTGACTGTTAAGCTATTGCTAGCTGTCCCAGTATAGGGATGCCTTCCAGGAATCTTTCTATGTCTTTTGTGCCAACACTTCAAGCATCCTGACTTCAGGAATTTGAAGACAATCTGGTTAGTGAGTATCATCACCATGAAACTATATATGAAACTAAAGAGCACTTTTCCTTAAGTTGACAATAATCCTAAATATTGATATGACATTACTAATGAGTTTTGAAACTGAAAACTGTGTTTTTAAGCAATCAATAATTAAAACTAATTTCAACCAACTATGCTAAAAGATTGAAATATCTTTCTCTTCCTTCTACAAAAAATTGTGAAACTGCCATTATATGATGAGGTCACCTAAAGTTCCGCAGTCAACATATGTTTCTTAGAGGTGTGTTAGGCAGTTCATTATAATGATATTTTCGAATGTTGCAAAGTTTGTGGCATTTGTCAACTTTTCTCATTCTAAATATTAATGCTTATACTTAGATTTGCATTTGTAATTTATTAATTTTTAAAGAACCCCTCCCCACACACACACAAACTATAACCCATAGGCTCCACAAAACCTGGATCTTCCCTGCTCTCCAAAATAAGTGCTGTCTGAATCAAAATATTACAATAGAAATTTTACCTCCTTTGATCTAATACTTTGCTTTTACTGAAGGCAGCTGGATTCCATTAGCTTTTCTGGCAGTTTTGCCACTCTGATTACAGAACTGCTGAATCAGAAATCTTGGGATTGAGTATAACCTCAAAGGTCATCTAAATCAAACACTCATCCTATGCTCAAATTCTCTGCTGATGCCCCTGCAGGGTGGACATCAGCCCATGGTCGAATGCTTCCAGTGACAGGAAACTCATTAGGGCCTGTGGAACTCATTACATCTTTAAACAACCCAAAATTTCATAAGGGTTGAATAGTACCTCTTATTGGACTTACTGTAAAATTAAATATCTTTTTTTATACACTTATCTAAACCTCATTTTTTTTTACTTTTTGAATTTAATTGAAAAATAAAAATTGTATGTATTTATGGTGATGACATGATGTTTTCAAGTATGTATAGACAGCGGAATGACTAAACCAAGTAAATTAACATAGGTATTATCTGACGTAATTTTTTGTGAAAATACTTAAAAATCTACTTACTCTTAGCAATTTTCGAGAATACCACATATTGTTATTACTATAGGTACCATGTTGTACCTCTTGAACTTATTTCTTTTGTCTAATTGCCATTTTATATGCTTTGACTAGTATCTCCCCTATGTCCCCCTCACTTGTTCCGGTCTCCAGTAACCACCATTCTACTCACTGCTTTTACGAGTTCTACTTTTTGAGATTCCACATATAAGTGAAATCTTTTTGTATCTGGATTATTTCACTTAACATAATGTCCTCCAGGTTCATTCATGTTGTTGCAAATTACATTTTTTAAAAACAACTTTATCAAGATAGAATTAATACATCTTTTTATTGTACTTAATATTTACATTTTTATATATTACATATATTTATAATAAGTGAATATAATAAAAGGATATTATTCATATTCACCTATTATCAATAATTTTAACTTTCCAACATATCCTTCAAATAGATATTCTTTAACTGATGGTCTGCACTGTGGTAGCCTGGTCACTAGTAGAAAAAAAAAAACAACGAATGTTATAGTAATTACCACTTATACAGCATTACTGTATGCCCAGGAATATTTTATTTATAAGAATCTCATTTCTGTAATAACACTATGAGATAATACCATCTGTGTCTTATAAGTTTAAAAACTGAAGCTCAACCCACGTAAATAATTTGACTAATTTCATGCAGCCATAAAGTTGCAGAACTGAGGTTCAAACCTAAGTCTATGTAACTGTGAAGCTCATACTTCAAACCAGTAGACTCCACAAGCTCCTATAACATTGTGTAATCTCCAGTAATGATATTCAGAAGCAATAGTATGTACCAAACTCTCTACATAAATTATTTCATGTTAGTATATTTATCTGGAAAACCCAATAAAGTAGGTATTGTGATATTCAATATATAGTTCAGAAGGGTTAATCTGTCCAAGTTTACTTAGCTAGTGAGTGGTATAGTTAGTGTTTGCATCTGTCTTAGTATCTTTGGGCTGCTATGACAAAATACCATAGAAGGTTTATAAACAACAGAAATTTACTCTCATAGTTCTGGAGGCTGGGAATTTCAAGATCAAGTTGCTGACAGATTCAGTGTCCTGTGATGGCCTGCTTCCTGGTTCCTAAACAGCTGTCTCCTCACTAGGCTGTCATATGGCAGAAGGAGCAAAAAGGGTCTCTGGGGTCTCTTTAGTAAGGGCACAATCCTATTCATGAGGGGTTCATTCTTATGACCTAATCACCTCCCAAAGGCTCCACATCCTAATACCATTTCCTTGTGGGCAGGATTTTAACATACAGATTTTGGGGAGATATAAACATTCAGATCATAACAGCATCCAAATACACTTAATGTCAAAGGCTTTGCCTTTCCCCTAGCTTGTTCCGTCACTTGGGTTGTAGAATAGGTCAGTCGTCTAGTAATGTCCTGGGGAGAATCATGAGTCATCTAAGATCCTCATGATTGCATTGTCTCATTCTGTTGCTACAGCTGATCTCTTGAGGCTGAAGGTTGAAAGCAGCCATCAGGATTTACAAATATAATATAATATAATACAATTGTGTGTACATACACATTTGTGTATTTGTCTATATCTCCATCCTAGTCATTTGGCCTAATATGGAGTGAATAAGTAAAATATCACTGCTAATAGATTTCATTCCAAAACTGCCAGCTCTATGATGAAAAATTCGGCTTACCGCTGCCCAATCTGCTTCTCCACTTCAGTCTGGCAAACTATTCACTTATTAAAAGTATATCTCTGTAAAGCCTTTTTGATGGGAAGGTGAGACACTTGGGGAATATCATATTATAAATTCCACATTGAGGTCCTCTCTTCTTATGCTCATTTTGATACAAAGTTCATTTACTATGATTGTAAAAGTTAGATTTGGAATGGAAAAGAAGTGGTGTCATGTAAGGACAACATGATGCCCAAGATGAACACATATCATATCCTACCTCCGGGAGGAGCTGGCTTAGGTGGTCAATCAGTCCCATGGTGCTAAGTATATGTGTCTGCTTATGTATATCATCTCTAATGGTTGTTGAATGACTTACTCTATTTTTTTAAATGATAAAAACTACAAATTATATATAATACAGAAAAGTGTTTATCATCTACACATTGTTAGCTATTATCTTAGTTATTAAAAATATTGATATCATACTCTGTTTGTTGAGTTTAAAAGAAACTTTTAAGCTATTTTAGTATAATTATCAATTGTCCTGGAGTGTGAGTCCTAGGGAAAACAATTCTTCTATCAAATTTTTTTAATTTCCATGGAATTTTATAAAATAATTATTTAACACCATTGCCATGTCAAACAATTAGTTACACCATTGGCTTTTTGAAATATGGTAGTTGTCACCTGTCTGATGCCAAGTGTTCTACTTCTGGTGGCTTAATAGGTAAGCCAGATTTGATTGTGTGAACTCTAATCGTCTCAGGGTGCTTTGCTGTTTGATTTTGTTTTAAATAACAATGGTAGACAAATTTTATCTCACTCATAACTTCACATATTCCATATCCATCTCAACTTGGTTGGTCCCTGTTACCTGGGACAGAACTCAAATCAAAGGTTTTAGATTAAAAAGTCATTACGCTTATTATAGAGGTTGGCTGCAATCTTAACCTGTCAAGATCTAAACAGCCTGCCTTTAGCCTCCAATTTTATGGTCTTATGAGAACGTTTCCATGACTAAATTCCTGTTTCTGTTTATCTGCCTGATTTCCTGTCCCATTCATTCCAATATGGACTATTTCCATATATATATATATATATATATATATATATATATATATATATATATATATATATATATTCTATATATTTCAAGTATTTCATGATTTTAGGACCTTTGCTAAAAAGTTGGACCATTAAGGAAGTGGTCATATCATGAAACACACTGTCTTCCATTATCTCACCAGCTCCAAACCCTTGGCTTCTTATTTTCTCTCAGCACTTGGCTGTTTTTCAGAATAACTCACATCTTTTTTTACATTTTCTCAAGGATAACTTTTTTTTTCTCCTAAATTCAGCCCCTAGTCCTTGCCTTTCTTTCCAAAATAAGCCTCTTAAGGAACTTCCAAATACAGAATACTCCCTAAAGGTAAATCTGGAAAGTGTAATTTCCTCCGTGATTAAGATTATTCATCACCCTATCGATTGCTAAGGTTATTTTCTCTGCTGTCATATCTCACGAAAAGCTTTGATAAAACTGAGCAAACATTGTAATATATCCTGAATCTAGCCACTTTTCTCCCCTTCCACTGTGACTATCTGTCCCGGTCACCATTGTTTCCCAACAATCCAGTTGGGAATAATCCAATTCCCATAGCATTCTAAATGATCTCCCACTTGCACCCCGATCCCCTACAGAATATTCCCAACCCTACAGCCAGAAAATCCTTTTAAAACATATGTCACTTCTCAGCTTAAAACTATAAAACTTGCAATGGCTTTATATTTGACAGAGTGAAAGCCGAGGTCCTTCCAATAGCCTAAAAGATCTTATCTCTCTCTGGCTTCTTCTCTTTCTACTCCCCTAACTCCTCCTTGAGACACTCCCGGCTCACAACACTTCATCAGTTCTGGTGATTATCTTTGCTTTGTTTGCTAGCTCAGAATAATTTTTCCCTGGTATAAGGTTGTCCTGCTCCTTCACTGATACCAAATCTTTCCTTAGTGAGGGTTCCATGGTCATTTTACTTAAAATTCCTCACTCAACACACACCACTAATCTTCATTTGTTTTGTTTCTGTAGCACTTTTGACCTTTTAATTGACTCTATTATTGCCTATCTTCCCCCTTCATCCATGCTTAGAATATAAGCTAAATGAGAACAGGCATTTCGTAAAAATTGGTATATTCTCAGAACCTAGAAGGGTTCTTGGTACACAATAGTTGGCAAATAAATATTAGATAGCAAAAGCAACGAATAAATTAGTGAGATTATTTCATATTCATGCTGAGATCTACCTTTAGCTCAGTACATTAATCAATGTTGTTTAAAATTTGATTAGGTACATAACTTTATTTATTCATTCAACTACTTTAGGGACACATTGATAAATAGCACTTAATATGTGGGAATACAAACAAATAAGTGAACATTTTAAATGATAAATGCTTTGAAGGGAAGAAACAGAGTACAGTGATGGAGGATAGCTAGGATGATCCAACTTAAGTGGTTGACCTATCTAAATAAAGTGGTATCAAACCAAAATATGCAGAATGAGGTGTTTGCCACATGAGGAACAGGGGTAAAAGCTTCCCAGAAGCAAGTTACAGCACATGCAAATATCCTGCAGCAGGAAAGAGCATTTGAGGGACTGAAAGGAATACCTGTAAATGGAGCCCACTGAGGGAGAAGGGTTTCATGAGAGGAAAGTGAATAGTGAGGTGGGGCTGAGATTATGCTGGGCCTTGCAGACCATGAATAGGGGTTTAGTGTACATTCTAACTGCATTGGAAGTCACTGAAAGGGAGCAACACAATCATCTAATTTTTTTTAAATGGTCATTTTGGCTTCTGAGTAGAGAATAGATTTGAGGGAACAAGAGTGTCTTAGGTTCTATGAACAACAGCTCAAGAAAGATGAGAAGATACAGGTTTTTAAAATATATAATCATAAAACAAAAAGTTAAGGCACAAAGCAAAATTTAGAATATAAACAGAAAAAGTGAATCATATTTCCTTTTTTTTCCCCTCTCTGCTCTCTACTTTCCTACATTTCCAAATAATTAGTGTTAGAATATCTTAGTATTACTTAGGGGAAGAAAATCACAGACATGAACATACATACAAACATAAAGAGAAAAAAGAGAAGAAAAATTCAAAGTAAAATGTGAACTCTGCTCAGTGGATTTAAAAAGTAATTCATTTACAATTGAATTTTATTTTTTAAAAACCAAATTGCCACTGACATTAAATTTAAGTCACATTTGTTTTGGAGGCTATCCCAAGTTAAAGTATAGATATGAATAATACAATATTTTGTTTTTTGTAGTTTTCCATTATTAAAAAAAATCCAAACAAATACCACCATGACAGTATATAACAGAAACACAGCAATAGTGGTTAAAATATTTATCTTTGATTACAGAACTGAAGATTAATAAGTTATCAACATTTAAAGGGAGGATTAAACGCCGAAGAAATTTAACATGCTTCTTCCATTTATCAGTGTCTATTGTGAAAACTTCAAGTTACCTATTTTTTTTTTTTATCTTCAATGGGATAAAGATCCTTTGTCTACAGTTTTGGTTGTTGTTTCTTTGAAAATCTATGCTTGTGGGAAATTTCAGAATTAAATGTAGAATGAGGTTTACGTTTGATTAGTCCATTGCAACTGAACACAGCAGGAAGAGGCCAGCAGAGTATAGGGTGGAACTAACATTCATGCAATATATAGGGTTGCCTACTGATAAATTGTGTGTCTGAGCCTTTTGCTTTCTTGGAAACTATTTTCAAGGTTGGTATAAGGCTGTGGAATGTTTTGTGAAATCACTAATGGTTTTCTAGACCTATATTGAGTATTTAAAAATGTCTACATTTGTATTTTGTGGTTGGTAAAAATGATTAATAATACTTTGCTGTTAAATAAAATGTCAAATTATATAATCTTCACAAAACTAGTCATATTTTCCACCAAATTTTCTCAGTTCTCCTAAGCCCTTCTACAAACAAGGAGGCCTTTATGTAATATCTTGGCTTGCTCAATCAACAGAATGCTATGAAAATAACTGTTACTAAAGGTTTTAAACGAATAATGAAGGTTGGCTGAATTAAATGCCCTCCAGCTTATGTTTCCTTCTCTGACCCTAAGGCAAAAGGACACTCGCAATATCTTTTTATTTTTATTTGTAGTAATTACAGTGGGCCCATATGATTTTAAGAGAAATTTACACCAGTTTCAAATCCTTCATTGCCACTAAAGGCAATCTAATTGGCAATGATTCCTTAATGTGGATATTGGTTTTGGTTGCTGACTCCTTCAAAAACAACATCTTTTCTCATGTGGAAATAATGCCTGGGAAAGAACTAGAATGTCCATGTGACCAATGAGGTCATATCAGCCTTGAGTGGGTTTGGCTGCCTTGTCTGTTAATCTCCTGGTGCCAAGTTAAACACAGCCCAGAGAAAAATTATGTGCTCCATTTATTATCATGCACATCCTTGGAATGAACTGAAGGGGGCAATATCGACTAAGAAAATTCAGCAGGGCAGTACTTAAGGAAATAAACTTGGGAACACTGTAACATTAAGATAAAAATCATTTTTGTTTGCCAGCTGCTACTACCATTACACACATATACACATACACAATGCACAATAAAGAATTACTGAGGGGCTCAAAGTTTCAAATATCATGGATTGTATTATGAATTATATTCATAGATTATAATAACAGCCAAGTTGGTTTTTGTCTGTAAAGTATACTTTAAAAAGTACATTTTAATAGTTTTGGCACAAGTTTAGCTAACTGTATTAGTCTTTCTATCTAACTCACTATGTGGGAAGTCCCTCACATAATAGATTTTGGTTGTTTCACAGCAAACATGATTTCTTCTTTCAATTAGCTTAACGTAGACAGATAAGAGTAGATAAATCAGGCCTGAGGTACCTCTCCTTCCAACAGCACTTTTGCTATTCGATTTCCTCTAGCCTTTATTGAGGAAAGCAGACATTCTGGCAATAATATCTTTAAACTTGTGCTACAGGCCAGGCATGGTGGCTCATGCCTATAATCCCAGCACTTTGGGAGGCCGAGGCGAGAGGATCACTTGAGCTGAGGAATTTGAGACCAGCCTGGGAAACACAGGGAGACCTTGTCTCTACACAAAATTAAAAAAAAAAAAAATTAGCTGGGTGTGGTGGCATATGCTTGTGGTCCCAGCTTCTCGGGAGGCTGAGGTAGGAGGATTGCTTGAACTTGAGAGGTAGAGGCTTCGGTAAGCAGTGATTGCACTGATTGCACCATTGCACACCAGCCTGGGTGACAGAACAAGACCCCCATGTCAAAAATAAAATAAACCTGTGCCACAAGTTGTCATAAGTTTATATTTAAATGACAAATATAGCAAACATAGTTTTTCACTTAGGAATATTTGTATGTGAATGAATGTGTGTGTGTAACTTTCTGCATGCAATATGGCTTCTAATAAAATAGAATACCAGCGTCTTCACAACTTAGAATTTTACTGAAAAAAAAAACTATATTATATAAACGTATACCTGCTCATTTTATAATAGTAGTCAGGCCACTCTAATTTTCCTGTTCCAGAAAGTGTGTTATTCTTGACCACTCCCCTTTCCCTGGATAACTTTATTTGCAACAAAAATATCTAGTCTCTCACTTCTACTACTGAACTGTTCATTTTATTCCCCATTCTAAAATAAAACTCTTGGGAGGATTACAGTTAGTAGTATACCTGGATGAGGTATTATTTGAAGAACAGATAATTTAAGGAGGTGAATTTTGTTGTTTTGAGTGGGGAGTGGGGATCCTCAATAGTTGTATTTTATACACACATAAAATTCTACATAAAGACAATTCTATATAAATGAAGTAATATAAATGCAAACTAATATTAATACAAGATAAATGAGATGTTTGTAGATAATTCTCTCCATAGCTTAATTTCTCTACCCCTAAAATGAGAAGGTTGGACTAAATTAGCCAAGGAGGGAATACAAAATATCAATACAATCACTTCAGAGACCTGGAATCGACACCAGAAGTAAGGACTTGATTATCCAAGGTCAAACTGCTCAAGAGAGCCAGAGTCAGGCCTAGAACCCAGGTTTCCAAAAGTCTAGTCCATGCTTCCTCCACCAGAAAAATACCGTATTATTCCTAGAATGAATGCTGTATCCAGATACTTGCTGCTGTTAGTCAAGCCCAGTGCTCAAGTGTCACATTGATGACAAGGTACATACAGAGATATTTACTGAGCCAGACTAAGGGCATCAAAGTTTCCAAGCACACGTGTAATGAAATGTCCTCCACCAGTCAAGGAGGAATGAAGAAAAAGCAAAACAAAGAAGGGAGTGAAGGAACGATACATAAGAGAAAGATGGTTCCATTAAGGACAAGGGGCAGTCATAAATATGGAGAAGATGGTATGGGGAGCTGGATCTGTGTATGCTTGAGGAAAGCAAAACAAAAAAGCAAGCAATTTTCTGTCTATTGCCGGTAACTCACTCTCCTTCTGCCTTCGCTCATTGGGCAGGCTATTCTGAGAACCTATGATTTCCTTTCTCCCTTTGTTTTTTCTCTTTGTTCCCTTTCAGCCAAACATCTGTTTATTTTTATTGATTAGTTTAATTATGAGATATTAAAAATGTGCTCCTACTAATTTCACTTTATTTTTTTCTTAATTAGAAAACAGTATAAGAATTGGCATTGTCCTGAGTTGGGCCTAAATTGAACATTTTTAATTATTTTATTGTATAGCAAAATCACTTACCTTAAAATTAAGGGCCGCCTACAATTACAAATTTAAAGGATTACACAATGTTCCTGAGACACTTTTTAGCAATTATTTATAAAATAACATAGCATATAAATATCAACTCACCACCTAAGGGATCCCAAGTCTAAGACACACCCGCTCTTCTCAGTACCTTTTTCCAATAAATCATTAATCACGAAGATCTTATTCTGCCCCTAGGACACACTGTTTTAGTCAATTCAATGCTCTTATATTTAAAGTCCTGAGAAGAACCAACTTGGCTGAATAAAGTAGCAAAGATCAAGGTCACAAGATTTCATAGGATGATTTATATGTCTTTTGTCATCAACCATGTTGATTTCAAAGACATCGGTAAAGTAAAGTATCAATCCTGGATTCAATTCAAAACTACGGATATGTGTTGCTTTAGGCTTGGGGGCAATCTTTTTTTATCTTACAAAAAAAGAAGACTATGGTCTAGGAGAGTATACAGTGTTGTAAAGAGCTGATGTCCTTTTCCAAATATGATACTACTATTTGCATTCACATATGGTTAGAATGTAATTCATATATCATTCCCACTATGCACACTATGCATTAGTGGAGTCAGTTCTCTTGTTTACTGCTTCCATTGATTTTTACAAATCTAACTCTGAAATGGCACTACAATTGAAGCTTTCCCCAGCCTCCTCTTCATTTTTTACACATTCTTAGCTCTTTCCATTGCTCTGGTTGTCCAGGCATCTCTAATTATACTACCTATTATAATTATAATGAGCAGATTTTCAGTTTTTCCCCTATTCATATCCATGATTATTAAATTCTCTATTACTCCTCCTTACCAGAAAAGATACTGTTTGTCAAACACCCAAAAGAGATATTGCTGTGGTGAAGTCATTACTGATTTCTAAAATGATCAGAAGGAATTTTCTTGATTTAGCATTTTGTGTCTATTTAAATGAGGTTAATGAATTGAAGAAGCTCTCCTACAACAGAGCATGTCAGGTTAAAATGACCATCTATGAGTCTTTGGATTCATAACACCTACAAATACATAAAAACACAACGCAGGCAGAAGAGCACTTTGCTCTGACTACAAGAGTGTTGAATCATTACAAATTATTATAATTATAGTACATGCATTCATGTGGGAATTTTTATCACTCCCTGACAAATAATCGTTCTCAACAATATTATAAAGTTCATAAGCAATTAAAGTATATCTTTTTTTCATAGAATTTTCTCTATTCATTTGTCTTGTATCTGTCTCTATGCATTTGTGTGAAACATCTTTAAGGTTAACAGCAACTATGAAAATGTAGGGAGAGAGGATGATCTGAAAAAAGAACCAATGAATTTTAAATGAAGTTCATATTGGAAGGCCTGTGAAAAAAATGAATTAATGTCTTTACTGTAATCTGACTATAGTGGGTTAGCTGCTTAAAACTAAGTTTTGAATTATTTATGCTGAAGAACATTTCTACACATGTGCCTAATAGGAAGTTGTAGAAACAAACACGATAGTCTTTAGTGAAAATGTATAAAAGTCTTGCTTGGTTGTTTATAACCAACCAAGACATTTAAAATAATAAAATATATAAATGTCTTGGCCCTGTGGATGTCTCTTAAAAATAGGTACTTATGAGATTGTACATAAAGAAAAAAAAAAGACAAAACTAAGCACTATCAATTAAAAGACCTGCAGTGTGACATGTTTTGAATGCAAGTTGATGAGTCAAGGCTATGGTGCCCGGCTGAAAAGCAGGTGTCCCTGAGAAGCCAAGAATCCTGGAGAGTATCTGAGAACTACCAAGGAAAGCAGTCCCACCACACAAACAGTAGACAAAGTGCCAGAAAGCCAGCTTAACAACAGCTTACGGATGGGAGGCAGCGCAAATCTCTCAAGCTGTTCTGCTGCCATCCAGGACTGCCTCGTATGTAAATCCTAATAAACTCACCTACTTGCCAAGCTGGACTTGTCTGAGTCATTCTTTGGTCTCTTGGCTCCCTCCTAGTTTAGGAGAAGTCTTTTGTTTTAATATGATTCTGAGTTTTTCTCATTACATCATTTCATGTCAATTGGTACAATAACATATTCTCTATTTATGATATTTTTATACATATTTGACTTTTTGAATTATGTCAGATTTGCTGGAGAAATCTAATAATATCCAGGACCTAGCTTATGAACTTCTCAAATGTTCACATGGACTCAAGATTCTGGGTGAGTCTGTAGACCATTCCTCTTGGCAATAGTCTGAAAGACAGAGACCCTGACATCTCCTTTCCCTATGCAGTCTTCAGTCCCAAGCTGGCTCTGAGACAGCCTGTTCTCAAGGAACATATGGCTTCATGTTAAGTATTATCCTGTTTCAACTCTCAGTCTTCCCATCTAGCTGTATTGGATCACATATGAACAACAATAACAAAATAATAATACGCTATTCAATATGGGACTAAAATCAACTCATTTAAAGCTTAAAGACTAAGGTATTCATATGAAAACAAGCTTTGTAAGAGCATCAGAAAATATGAAGTGTAAAGTCTTGCCACTAAACAATTGATGTATCTTTTTTCATTTAATATAAACTTTTTATTAAGAGAAAACATTTTCTGAACTCAACCATATTGATAATAATAAACTATGGCAGAAAATGATCTTCTTACTCTGCTAACATGCGAGTTTAATTTTCCTGGAAAATATTATATATTATTTTAATTTTAAATTTTTATGAGAACATAGTAGGTATATATATTTATGGGGTACCTGAGATATTTTGATACAGGCATACAGTGTGTAGTAATCACATCAGGGTAAATTGGGTATTCATCACCTCAAACATTTATCATTTCTTTGGGTTACAAACATTCCAATTATACTCTTTTAGTTATTTTAAGATGCACAATAATTTATTGTTGACTGTAGTCACCCTGTTATCAGATACTAGATCTTATTCATTCTGTTTTTGTACCCATTAACCACCCGCCTCCACCAACTACCCTTCCCAGCCTCTCGTAACCATTATTCTACTCCCTGTCTCCATAAGTTCAAATGTTTTAATTTTTAGCTCTCACAGATGAGTGAGAATATGCAAAGTGTGTGTTTCTCTGCCTGGCTTACTTCACTTAACATAATGTCCTCAAGCTCCATCCATGTTGTTGCAGATGACAGAATCTCATTCTTTCCTATGTCTGAATAGTACTCCACTGTGTACATGTACCACATTTTCTTTATTTATTCATCTGTTACTTGATATGCAACTTGGATACAAGTTGCTTCCAAATCTTCGCTATTGCAAATAGTGCTGCAATAAACACGAGAGAGCAGATATCTCTTGAATATACTGATTTCCTTTGTTTTGACTATACCTAGCAGTGGGATTGCTGGATCATATGATAGTTCTATTTTTAGGTTTTTGAGGAACTTCTATACTGCTCTTTACAGTGACTGAAGGATACTTACATTCCCACCAACAGTGTATGAGCGTTCCCTTTTCCCCACATCCTTGCCAGCATTTGTTATTGCCTATTTTTGAATAAAAGCCATTTTAACTGGGGGGAGATGATATATCACTGTAGTTTTGATCTGCAGTTTTCTGATGCATTTGTTCATATGCCTGTTTGCCATTTGTATGCCTTTTGAGAAACGTCTGTTTAGATCTTTTGCCCATTTTTAAATTGGATTATTAGATTTTTTCCTATTGAGTTGTTTGAGCTCCTTATATATTCTGGTGATCAATCCCTTGTCAGATGATAGTTTGGAAATATTTTCTCCTATTCTGTGGTTGTCTCTTCACTTTGTTGACTGTTTTCTTTACTGTGCAGAAGCTTTTTAACCTGATGTGATTCTATTTGTCCATTTTTGCTTTGGTTGCCAATGCTTGTGGAACAGTAAGAAATCTTTGCCCAGGCTAATGTCCTGGAGAGTGTCTCCAAAGTTTTTTTTTAGTGGTTTCATAGTTTCAAGTCCTAGATTTGAGTCTTTAATCTATTTTAATTTGATTTTTATATTTGGCAAGAGAGAGGGGTCTTGTTTCATTCTTCTGCATATGGATATCCAGTTTTCCCAA
This sequence comes from Homo sapiens, assembly GCF_000001405.40. Taxonomy (NCBI): domain Eukaryota; kingdom Metazoa; phylum Chordata; class Mammalia; order Primates; family Hominidae; genus Homo; species Homo sapiens. The sequence continues at coordinate 86,673,321 of NC_000005.10, read as the reverse complement.
CACCATTTGCTGAAGAGACTGTCTCTCCCCAATGTATGTTCGTGGCACTTTTGTTGAAAATAAGTTCACTATAGATGTATGGATTTCTTTCTGGATTTGAAATTATATGCTATGTGATGCTACCCTCTTCCCTGGCAATAAAACAAATGAAGTTGCCTTTGTACAAATTCCATGGTGACTTACAAATATTTTCATAGACATCTGCTCCTTTAGTAAGAAAGTGGCCACATTTACTCATTTCTCATGAAACAAAAGTAGTTCTCTGACCTGTTGGTAAGTAATCACCCAACAGAAGGTACTGACGGTTTGAGAAAGGAAGGAAGAATAAGATTCCACTTACATAGCAGGACTCATAGGAAATTAGGAAAAAGAACAGGTCTTAGCAAAAGCTCTCATTCTGACAACAGTTGCCGTTTGTCTTTTGCCTCTTAGTCCTCACAATTACAAATATAGATTAGTTTTAAGTTACCCATTAGGTAGGAAGACAGAACAGAAACAACAACAAAACGCCAACAAATTCTTTCCTACTAGGTAGTTTTAAGCTAATATATTATCCTCTGGGCTGGAAATGCAAAAAGCATCTTATGGAATCACATCATAAATGACCCATGTAGGACAGTATATTTTTCATTAGCAAGGTAAGGAGGCATAGAGCCGAATAAATCAAAATGAACAAGGCAATTATTGTTCCTCCCATAATGTCACCTTAAAATGGAAGCAATAAAGGAAATACAATGTAAAGAAAGAATTTTTTACTGGGGAACATATTTTTACATTTAGAAAGAAAAACTTTATGCCTCTGAAAAATAGTGAACCAATAATTTTATGTGGAAAGTAAATTTTAAAAGAATACAAAGTTAGATTTATGAAACAGGTCTGGGAAATGCTAATTATTTACTCAAAATAATAGGAATGTAAGAAAAATTTAGACTTTAAAAAATAACTTCTAAGTGAATGCCAATGATAAGCAGGAATTAACATTTAGATAGCAACACTGTCCTTGACGTCTTTTAGATTTGTAATGCTATAGATTTTGTAGAAATATAATGACCATTATTATAGCGAATTCTTCAGCATATATATTAGTGAAAATTGACAATAACATCTTCATAAGCAGTGAGATTCCCAGAGTTCAAATGTCTTTTAAGTTTGAATAGGTAATATCACCTATAGTGGTCATTGTTGATAAATTGATTTTTGTAATGCTGTAAAGCAAGTTGGTATGAGCAAATTACCTGTCCCTCGATACAATTTTTTTCTAAATTTCATACTCAGTAATGAGGTCTTAAGGGGAAGCTTTTGTTTTTTTTTAAATATATTTAGGGAAAATGGTCAAGTGTGAAAGCTGTTATGACTAACAGCAATCAATGTTGTCTCTTACAATTTATATTACTTCTACTTAAGGAATAAAATACTCTTATTTACAACTAGGCTCAACAGAAACTTTTTTCTTTTCTAGACAAGAATAGAATGTGTAGTAGTGAAAAATTGAGCAAACATATGGGAATGTGATGTGGCAAATGGGAAGATGCGTGATCTTTAAGGATTTTAGATGCAGGGCTGACAAGAGCATACCAGATGGTATCAGACCCATTTTTTCCCATTTATGACCAAATTGTTGATGCCCTTATAGACTGTATGACACCTTCTGAAGAAACTCTAAAGTGCCTCCAGGTCCCTTAAAGTACTAATTAGAAATTTAAAAAAAAGGGTTTATGATGCAGATGGGAATTTCAATTCTTTTTTATTGTGCCGTTACGTCTTTAAAGAGAATATAGACAAAAGCTGGTACTACTAGGTAGTGTCAAAGAGGAGAATCTTTCTTTTGGATCATGACTTAAGCTGTTATTTTGACAAGGGTAAAATATTCTTTAGAACTGAGAAGAATGGGTAATTCAGGGGGCTTATTTACTGTAGATGAAAATCTGATCACCTTCTTGGTTAAAATGTAGCAATATTCCCCTTCCTTTAGAATAAAGTTTAAAATTCTTCACCTAGGTAAATATAAACAAATATATATTCTTTGTCTTAGCCCCTAACTTAAAGCATTTCTCAAAACTCTGCCCCTTATATTTTTGTGGCCAGCCCATTCATTGCAAACTGTATGTATTAGTCCATTCTCATGCTGCTTATAAAGACATACCCGAGACTGGGTAATTTATAAAGGAAAGAGGTTTAATTGGCTCACAGTTTAGCATGGCTGGGAAGGCCTCAGGAAACTTACAATCCTGGCAGAAGGGGAAGCAAACACATCCATCTGGCTTCCTTGCTCCTTGAAGACAGCCTATTGTGGGACTTAACCTTGAGATTGTGTGAGTCAATACTCCTTAATAAACTCCCTTTCATATATACATCTATCCTATTAGTTCTGTCCCTCTAGAGAACTCTGACTGATGCACAACCTTTATCCCAATCTTTGCCCAATTGACTCATTGTTCTAGCCTCATTCAGTTTGTACCTATTTCAGGAAATATTTTCTGAACTACTTTCTCACAACTTAATCTGGATTCAGTAGGCATTTCTTTATGGAGCTCCAGTAGCATCTTGAGTTTAACTTAATTGTTGGGTTCAGCATGCATCACTGCTTGAAAAAGCAAGCTATGTTTTTCCTCTACTCTCACACCAATACAACAACAATCAACACATAAAACTTCAAAATATGTGACCCCAAAACATGTGGTGATTCTGCCCCACCAGCAAGCAAGCAAGCAATTCTGCAGCAGACACCAGCTGGGTGTCCTCCAATTCAATTGACACTGTCTACCTGGAGACAGGATTAGATCCCACAGGTTGAGCGCTCAATTCCACAAAACCTCCTCCTCGCTTCCCACCAGTTGCATGTCTAGGCCTCTAGAACGTCTGACCAACTTGCTTCAAGTTGGGGTTCTCACAATGCCTTCTTTGGGTTTGATTAGTTAGAGCAGCTCACAGAATTCAGGGAAACGCATTTACTAGTTTATTATAAAGGGTATTACAAAGGATACAGATAAACAGATTCACTGGGTGAGGAATGGGGAAGAAGCACAGAGCTTCTATTCCTTCCCTGAGTGTGCCACCCTCCAGGAACTTCTCTGTGTTCCGCTACCCAGAAGCTCCTGAACCCTGTCCTCTCTGGCTTTTTAGGGAGACTTCACTGGACAGGCACGATTGAAGCATGGACACTCATGTTGAAATGTGATTGGACAAAAGGGTATGATCTTAACACAATAAGGCCTGTCTGTTCAGATTCTTTTAGGCCTTTCCGTGCAATACTCCTTCCTCCGGGGCACAAGTCAGGACCCTTTCTAGAATGAGGTTCTTGTAACCCACAACCAGCTTTGAGTCCTGCCATGGGCAGGTAAAAGGAGAGCAGGAAAAGACCAGAGAGGAAGATTCTGTTTACTGTAACAAGAGGTATGGGAGTTATGAACCCAAAGCCATGGAAGAAAACATATATACAAATGTTAGGTTAGTCTGTATTATCACTATAAATGTCCATTTGTGAATTTAAACTTCATTTGAACTCTTTAAAGAAAGAGCTTGTGTCCTAGTAGTTTTTATCTTTATAGTCTCTTTGTCTAGCATGCAATATGACCTGTGCTCAATGAATACATATATGGCTGTGGAATTGAACAGAAATTTCAGTGGAAGTTTTGAAAATGCATAGATAAAATTAAACCTGAGAAACACAGATTGAGTAACATAGAACATACTAGAGAAGGCACCCAGAAGCTCTGAAGAAGTTAATGAAAAAGTGTGTCAAATTAAATGTTTATGCACCAACACACAATATGTAGAAATTAAGAGGATTTACGCCATTAACATCAACTGACAAACGTGATTTCATAGACGATCATCTTAATATGTGTTGTCTGCTGGGCCAAGGCATATGCATGTATTAGGACCATATATTTAAAATTTTTATTTTTTATAATACTAGACATATATGTATTTTTATATACAAATATGAGTATTTTATGCTCATGCAGAGCAAAAATATATACATATATAGGTATATATTCTGGGAGTTCTATATCCGGTAGAGGCCACTTTTTAGCATTTTCATATTTGTTTTACAAAATAATTTTTCCTGTTATATATTGCCTGACATTTTTCCCCCCAAATAATCTAGAAGTACACGTTAAGTAGTCAAGTAGAGTTTTTTTTTAACTATACAGCTACAGATCGCTTAATAACTGGGATACCTTCTAAGAAATGTATTGTTAGACGATTTTATCATTGTGTAACTATCACAGAGTTATTTACACAAATCTAGATGCTACAGCCTACTACACACCTAGGCTGTATGATACAGCCTATTTCTTCTAGGCGAAAAACCTGTATATGTTACAGTACTGAATACTTTGGGCAACTATAACACAATGGTAAGTATTTTTGTATCTAAACATAAAAAAATATAGTAAAAATACAGTATTATAATCTTATGAGACCATTGCCCAATATGTAGTCTGTCATCGACCAAAATATCGTTACATGGTGCATGACTGTACATCATAAACATGTCTCTATATCACTACATCTGCATGTATATAGCTAAAAATCTAAAGATTGAACCACCTGAACAAAAGCATTTATTTAATACAAAAGAGACAAGATGGGATATCCCTGTGGAATGATATTATAAACAACCCTGTCAGACTGTATGTCAATGACTTTCTAAAATACATTGGAAAACAGGCACCAAGGCAACATGTATTGGTAAAATGTTTATCTTCTGAAAGCACGTAACCTCGAATATTACTGTTTGAATTTGCTGTGGGCATGGGAATGGTCATCACGCAGAGCAGGGTTTTCAAACAGGCCTACAGAACAACCTACAACAGAAAATACAGTAAGCTTGCTAAAAATGCAACTTTCTGGCTCTAAAACAAACTTCCTCAATCAGAATCTTTGAAGAAAAAATAGAGCTGGCTTTTTGGGCATGCTCAGAAGGGCCCCATGCTGGGTTTAATGTCTTACTGTCACCATCATGTAAAATTCTTAATGATTTTGATGTCACCATCAAAAATTCTTAATGCTTTTCAACATGGGGCTTTAATTTTGCATTATGCCCTGCTAATTGTATAGCTGGTTCTGAGAAAGGGCACTGAGAAATGTACATTTTAAACAATCACTCCACGTGTCTGCAGACCACACTGTGATACACACTAAAAACTGAAAATGATTGACTGAAGGTTAAAGAAGCAAAGAAATGTTACTCTTGGGTAAGCCTCTTATAATCTAGGAAGACAGGACTATGAATGTGGAGGGAACAGAAACCATGGGAGACAGTGTAACCATGTCATCTTCAAGTTAATAAAAGCCAAGCAGTGAGAGACAGACAAAACCAAAATGCTATATTTTTCTGAAAGAACATTTCCAAAGTTCTGAGAGAGATGGAATTGTACCTTTGTTCAGAAGTTCTAAAGGGCATATGGTGAGGAATTAAAATCAGAGACTCTAAGTACTAATCCCCATATTATAAACATAATGTGAGCTACTGACCAAATTTAGTAATCAGAAACTAAAGAAGAAATTTTCATGTCTCTACAAGGTAATGAGATCAGACCTTCAAGGTTGAGAAGATGTTAAGAATACAAAAAATGGAGAGAATCTGAAGAAGTTTACAAAGACTTGAAACACTGGAAAACTCTTAAGACAAAACAAGGGCTTTTACATAAATAAGGCAGAATAGAGCTTTAAATGGAATCAAAATCCAGTACTGGGAAACTTGCACAAGAATCTGATGAGATTAAAAAAAAAAAAAAAAACACCTCAGGAATGAAGCTTTCCCTGACCCAAACTAAGCCCACAATCTTTCCATAAGAGAGAGCACTGAATACCAGCACTCACAGTGTGGATACTCAGTTTTGATCACTATCACCATTCTAGGGTAACAGCAACTATACAGACACAGTACCAAATACAGAGTAGGTGCTTTACAAATGTTAACTAAATTGTAATTCTATGTTTGTTCAAATACGAAAGTGCTACCTTAGGTTGCCTCAGATTAAAAAAAAAGAAAATGCATTGAGCTAGAGTATTCATAGTACCAAAAACATTCTAGGTGCTTCTCCAATGAGTTCTCCTGGACACACATTAATCTCAACCGGCTCACCTCAATAATTTGTTTGAACACCTGCATATGAGTTTTTAGTTTCAGCTTCACTCATTATTAACTGGTCTTAATCTCTATTAAGTAGACTTTCTTGGCTACGCTGCAGGTACATATGCTTGCTCAAAACAATCCACACACCTCAGGAAAAGTCTACAATTTACTACAAAAAACATGTTAAGCAACAAAGCAGAGAGCTTAGATTTATTCATATTCTGTTTTGCTCTTTTCCCCATCAAGGAAAATAATTTTCAAGCTGGCAAATCTAGAACAAACATCATTAGGAGGGAAGTGAAGTACAAGATAGGTGCAGAGATAATAAGGGACTACTTTACAGCTTTAAATTAATTCAAGCCTTAGGGCCCAGATAAATTATATCCTAGGATATTTAAATGACTTGCAGATGTGATCAAGGCACTACGGTTGTTAAACTCTAAGAAATCACAAAGAAAAAAGGAGGCCCCAAAAGTCTGGAAATGGGCAAATGTTATTCCCATTTCTTAAAGGTGGGTGTGTGTGTGTGAGGGGTTGAGGCAATGGATTCTAGAAATTGTAAACTTAATGCTAACCCCTAAACAAATTATTGAACAAAGGTTAAGTAGTCTGTGAGTGGCTCTCTTGAAGGCAAGGACCCTGTCTGTGTCGTTCAACACAGTATCCTCAGGGTCCTTAGCAGGGTGTGTCCTTAGCAGGCACTTAATAAATACTTATAGAATATTAACTGCTTAGCAGGGAAAGTTGTATTTGAAATCAACATGTATTAACCGAGAAGTAAACTTAAACAAGTTGTTTGACTCTCTGGGCTTCATTATTGATTGTACTGGGTAAGATTTTCAAGGTTATTCTCTGGAAACAATTCTAAAATCGCACCAACTTAAGTAACCAAGACTTACTTTTTGCTCACACTTCCTGTCCATGTGGGTAGACTGGGTGCTCTGTTCCGTGTCATCCTCACTCCAGAACCGAGGCTAACAGACGAGCTAACCAAAGCGTCACCAATCGTTGAGGCAGAGAGAAAGACAAGACCCTACTTTGGGGAGGGCAGACCTACTTTTATTGCTTCCACCTGGAAGTGAGGCCCGCACCACACACGTTTGATTGATCTAAGTAAATCACGTCGCCACGCCCACTTCAAGGGGAGGGGAAGTAGAAACCACCTTGTACTGAGGAGGAAAACCAGAAACACCTGGCTAAAACTGTCAATGAATATCACAGTTATACTGTCTGAAAAATGAAAATTATAGTAGATATGTAGAGGTGTGAGTTTTCTTTGATCATACATTTTTACAAGAAATGTCATAATACTTTGTTTTTCTAAATCAATTGAAATCTATTGCTGAGGCCCACTGTACTCAGGGCGGCGAGAGCAGCATTTATTCTCTAAGGTTGCACCAACATCCAAAGAGTTTTCAGCCTGCCTTGAAAATAAAGAAAAGTTTTCTACACTTTAATATATCACAGTCACGGCTGAAAAATAAATTGTGTAATCCTATGTGAGCCATTAGAAGGTAGAAGGTGGGCTTTTCTGCCTTTTTTTTTTTTTTTTTTTTTTTGAGATGGAGTCTCGCTCTGTCGCCAGGCTGGAGTGTAGTGGCGCTATCTCGGCTCAAGGCAACCCCCGCCTCCCGGGTTCAAGCGATTCTCCTGCCTCAGGTGCGCGTCATCACGCCCAGCTAATTTTTGTATTTTTAGTAGAGACGGGGTTTCACCATGTTGGCTAGGCTGGTCTCGATCTCTTGACCTCAAGTGATCTGCCTGCCTCGGCCTCCCAAAGTGCTGGGATTACAGGCTTGAGCCACCGCACCTGGCCTTTTCTTGCTATTTCTACACTTAGCTTGGGCACAGTTTGGATGTAGTGTAATACCTTAGCTGAAGGTAAAAGCCTTGGCCAATTATCTAGTCTCCATGATTGCACCTTGCAGCTGTCCCTTCTAAAGTCCTATCTTCTCCCTAGGTTGCTGCAGAGGAACATAATTCCCATCATCAGATACATACACACATTCTCTCATACATATAAGGAATATTTTATTCTCATGAACTGTGTGTATTTCTGCCCACCTGCTCTGTACCTTCCACCACCTTCCAAAGATGAATCTCTCTCTCATATCACTCTGAAATAAACTGGCTTAATCCATTAAAAGGACTTCTGTTTTCAAAAACAAAATGTTGGGGGAGGAGGCTGTGTTCAGACAACTTCTGCTTTAAGGCTTGTAACATCAACGCCCCTGAAGCAAGAACAGCACAGGGTAACTTCTCGGTAAAAGGAAGAAATACACTGGGAGTAAAATACAAGTTAGTGTCTCAACCAATTATCTTTAATAATATTTCAAGGTAATATCTTTAATTTAATGATTAAATGAAAACAGAAGTAGAATCAAATACAGAAGCTGACAGAAGGTTTTTGAAAAAAGACAGTTTCTATTATAACTGTCAAATTATGTTTGATTAGCCATATTTCCATATTTAAAACAGTTACTCAACTGGCTATTTGAAGGACGAGATAGTCAATGTGTCTCTATTGACTGGAAAAATAAGCACTGAATTTGTAGAACAAAGAACACAGAACCTTACATCTGATTCTCCTCTTCCATTTTACAGATAAGCAATCACAAGACATGAAAATTTTCTGTAACAGTCAGAAATTTTACATGGTTCCCTTTAATGCATATTACTATTCAATTATTTCTTGTTTTATACTTTTAATGTTATGAAAAATAAACCATTGAGGATCTATTTATTTATGATATGGTGAACTCTCATCAGAAATTATTTCTAACAACTTATAAGTTAAAAACTGTATCGGGCCTCCTTCTGTTTTATCTAAATATGTATTTGGAAATCACCTAACCAGCAAAAATACCAAACAGTTTTATGTTATCCTTTAAGGGAAATATTTTGTGTGGGGCAGTACCTAAAAGAAAGCTCATTCTCAGGCAGGTCTGTTTTAGGAAGGACTACCTTGGAAGTCAGAAAATTGATTCTTCTAGAATCACCCATGCCTGTGAGCCCTTGCATAGGACTGCAGTTGGAAAACCACGGTGCTATGTAGTAAAATCTGGAGGGCTTTCTCTAATGAGAGCCCTGGGGTTTAAGTCATCTGAGTTTGGTTTGAGCAGACACATCTGAAGTTATTATGGATTAAGTTGAGAGACCATTTAGCAATATGCAGTACTCCCAATCACTTAGAAAAACTTAACTAAACTATTGGAAGGATTCCATCCTGTTTTTTAAATGTAGTATACTTATTAACTCAATAGAGAAACATGAAGTCAAGATTGACTTCATTTTATTGTCAAACTGAAGGGTGACAAGAAATTTCAGCCTTAGCCCTTTGAGGAAAAAGAACAAGAGTCTGTAAACCCCAAATCCTGACCAGAGCTTTCAACCCTGCATTTCATACCCACTGTCTGACAGTTGCTGAAAATGTTAACAACTCATCAAGTAAAATCGGCACCATTAAAAAGTGAGGAAAGCATTCACCTGATTCCTTTTTTACATGCTATTTTCTTTAAGTTAATTACAATGTGTTTTATTTTAGTCTGAGAGTTACTGTTGTTACTGATGTTAAATATAGTAAAAAGAAAAAAAAACAGATTTTTTCCCTCATATAAGTTTACCGTTATTGTTTCCCAGACTTGAAAATACTTTACCTTATGCTACTAATATAGAATCATTTTACTTTACCTTATGCTACTAAAATAGAATCTTACTGTAAACCCAATTTCAACATATAATTCTATAACTGTAGAATTGGAACAGCAAATTATATATGTTTCACCATTGCTGGAAAAATTGAAAGTTGGAATACATACCTGGGAATTACTTAAATAAATTATATCTATACCATTCAAGAGTTAGTAACTGTCTTAAAAATGACATAAGAGTATAAATACTAATTTGGAAGATGCTTATAAGTGTAAAAAGAAAACAGTATAGTAGGTATTATATGATCTCACTTATATTATTACGATATTTCAGTGCTCACTTTGACAGCACATATACTAAAATTAGAATGATACAGAGAAGATTAGCATGGCACCTGTGCAATGATGACACGCAAGTTTGTGAAGCATACAATATTTTTAAAACACAACGAAGTACAAAGACCAGTGACACTATGAAGTAACCACGTAAACAAGTCTGCAAAATAACCAGCTAACATCATCATGACAGGATCAAATTCACATGTAATAATATTAACCTTAAATGTAAATGGGCTAAATGCTCCAACTAAAAGACACAGAATGGCAAGCTGGATAAAGAACCAAGACCCATTGGTATGCTCTCTTCAAGAGACCCATCTAATGGGTCAAAGACACATGTAGGCTCAAAATAAAGGGATGGAGGACAAATTACCAAGCAAATGGAAAACAGAAAAAAGCAGGGGTTGCAATCCTAGTTTCTGACAAAACAGACTTTAAATCAACAAAGATCAAAAAAGACAAAGGAGGGCACTACATAATGGTAAAGTGTTCGATTCAACAAGAAGAGCTAACTATCCTAAATATGTATGCACCCAATACAGAAGCACCAAGATTTATAAAGCAAATTTTTAGGGACCTACAAAGAGATTTAAACTCCCACACAATAATAGTGGGAGACTTTAACACCCCACTGTCAATATTAGACAGATCACCAAGACAGAAAATTAACAAAGATATTCAGGACCTGACCTCAGCTCTGGATCAAGTGGACCTGATAGATATCTACAGAACTCTCCAACCCAAATCAACAGAATATACATTCTTCTCATTGCCATACAGCACTCACTCAAAAATTGATCACATACTTGGAAGTAAAACACTTCTCAGCAAATGCAAAAGAACTGAAATCATAACAAACAGTCTCTTAGACCACAGCACAATCCGTTTAAAACTCAAGTTTAAGAAATTCACTCAAAACCACAAAACTACAAGGAAATTGATCAACCTACTCCTGAATGACAACTGGGTAAATAATGAAATTAAGGCAGAAATCAAGAAGTTCTTTGAAACTAATTAGAACAAAGAGAAAATGTACCAGCATCTCTGGGATGTAGCTAAAGCGGTGTTCAGAGGGAAATCTATAGCACTAAATGCCCATATCAAAAAGCTAGAAAGATCTGAAGTTAACAACCAAACTTCACAACTAAAAGAACTAGAGAAGCAAGAGCAAACAAACCTCAAAGCTAGCAGAAGACAAGAAATAACCAAGATCAGAGCAGACCTGGAGAATGCAGAGACACAAAAAAAACCTTCAAAACATCAACACATCCAGCAGCTGTTTTTTTAAAAAAATTAATAAAATAGATAATACTAGCTAGACTAATAAAGAAGAAAAGAGAGAAGAACTAAATAGACACAATTAGAAATGATAAGAGGGCTATCACCATTGACCCCACAGAAATACAACCAACCATCAGAGACTACTATAAACAGCTCTATACACATAAACTAGAAAATCTAAAAGAAATTAATAAATTCATGGACACATACACCCTTCCAAGACTGAAGCAGGAAGAAGTAGAATTCCTGAATAAACCAATAACAAGTTCCGAAATTGAGGCAGTAAGAAATAGCCTACCAACTAAAAAAAGAAAAGCCCAGGACCAGATAGATTTATAGCTGAATTCTACCGGCGGTACAAAGAGGAGATGGTACCATTTCTTCTGAAACTATTCCAAACAATTGAGAAGGAGGGACTTCTCCCTAACTCATTTTATGAGACCAGCATCATCCTGATACCAAAACCTGGAAGAGACAACAACAACAAAAAAGAAAATTTCAGGCCAATATCTCTGATGAACATCGACGCAAAATTCCTCAATAAAATCCTGGCAAACCAAATCCAGCAGCACATGAAAAAGCTTGTCCACCAGGATCAAGTTGGCTTCATCCCTGGGATGCAAGTTTGGTTCCACATATGCAAATCAATAATGTAATTCATCGCATAAATAGAACTAAAGACAAAAAATACATGATTATCTTAAGAGATGTAGAAAAGGTCTTCAATAAAATTCAACAACCCTTTGTATCATAACAAAAACTCTCAATAAACTAGGTATTAAAGGAACATACTTCAAAATAATAAGAGCCATATATGACAAACCCACAGCCTGGAAGCATTCCCCTTGAAAACTGGCACAAGACAAGGATGCCCTCTCATACTTCTATTCAACATAGTACTGGAAGTTCTGGCCGGGGCAATCAGCTTTCAGCTGAGAAAAAATAAAGGGTATTCAAATAGAAAGAGAGGAAGTCAAATTATCTTTATTTGCAGATGACATGATCCTGTATCTAGAAAACCACATTGTCTCAGCCCAAAACCTTCTTAAGCTGATAAACAACTTCAGCAAAGTCTCAGGATACAAAATCGATGTGCAAAAATCACTAGCATTGCTATGCATCAAAAACAGGCAAGCAGAAAGCCAAGTCACAAATGAACTTCCATTCACAATTGCCACAAAAAGAAGAAAATACCTAGAAATACAGCTAACAAGGGAAGTGAAGGATCTCTTTAAAGAGAGCTACAAACCACTGTTCAAAAAAATCAGATCAGAAAGGACATAAACAAATGGAAAACCACTCCATTCTTAAGGATAGGAAGTATCACTGTTGTAAAAATGACCCTACTGCCCAAAGTAATTTATAGATTCAATGTTATTCCCATTAAACTGCCATTGACATTCTTCACAGAATTAGAAAAGACTATTTAAAAATTCATATGGAACCAAAAAAGAGCCCAAATAGCCAAGACAATCCTAAGCAAAAAGAACAAACTTGGAAGCATCATACTACCTGACTTAAAACTATAGGACAGGGCTACAGTAACCAAAACAGCATGGTACTGGTACAAAAACAGAAACATACACCAATGGAGCAAAGTAGAAAACTCAGAAATAAGACTGCATACCTACAACCCTCTGATCTTTGACATACCTGATCAAAACAAGCAATGAAGAAAGGATTCCCTATTTAATAAATGGTGCTGGGAGAACTGGCTAGCCATTGTGCAGAAAATTGAAACTAGACCCCTTCCTTACACCTTACACAAAAATTAACTCCAGATGGATTAAAGACTTGATTGTAAACCCCAAACTATAAAAATCCTAGAAGAAAATCTAGGCAATACCACTCAAGACATAGACATGGACAGAGATTTCATGACAAAAAAACCAAAAGCAATTGCAACAAAAGCAAAAATTGATAAATGGGATCTAATTAAGCTAAAAGTGTTTCTGCATAGCAAAAGAAACTATCAATAGAGTAAACAGACAATCTACAGAATGGGAGAAAATATTTGCAATCTATCCACCTGACAAATGTCTTATTTCCAGAGTCTACAAAAAATTAAATTTACACGAAAAAAAAACAACCCCATTAAAAAGTGGGCAAAGGACATGAACAGACACTTCTCAAAAGAAGACATTCATGCACCCAAGAAACATGAAAAAAAAGTTCAACATCACTGATCATTAGTGAAATGTAAATCAAAACCACAATGAGATACCATCTCACGCCAGTCAGAATGGCAATTATTAAAAAGTCCAGAAACAATAAATGCTGGGGAGGTTGCTGAGAGAAAGGAAGGCTTTTACACTGTTGGTGGGAGTGTAAATTAGTTCAACCATTGTGGAGGACAATGTGGTGATTTCTCAAACATCGAGAAGCAGAAATACAATTTGACCCAGCAATCCCATTAATGGGTATATACCTAAAGGAATATAAATCATTCTGTTATAAAGATACATGCATGCATATAACATGGAATCACCAAAATGCCCATCAATAATAGACTGGATAAAGAAAATGTGGTACATATACAACATGGAATACTACGTGGCCATAAAAAGGAACAAGATCATGTCCTTTGCAGGGACATGGGTGGATCTGGAAGCTGTTATCCTCAGCAAACTAATGCAGGAACAGAAAAACAAACACCACATGTTCTCATAGGTGGGAGCTGTACAATGAGAACCTATGGTCACATTTGTTCTCATTCGTTCCCAGGGGAAACAACATACACTGAGCCTGTCGGGGGTTGAGGGTAGAGGGAGGAAGAGCATCAGGAAGAATAGCTAATTAATGCTGGGTTTAATACCTAGGTGATGGGATGATCCATGCAGCAAACCACCATGGCACATATTTACCTACATAAGAAACCTCCACATCCTGCACATGTACCCCTGAACTTAAAATAAAAGTTGAAGATAAAAAGTAAGATATTTGCATATGAATATTTATTTTTAAATGCATAGATGATTTCTAGAAGGTTACACTAGAAAGTGTTAAATTGTTAACAGTGGTTACTTCATGGGAGTGAGTTTCTTCCCACTCTTTACCTCACTTCATGGTTAAAATTTTAGATCAATATATATTTATTGCATAATAAAAATATTTTTGCCATTATTCTATCTTCTCGTGGTTCCCGTAAGGTATGAATATTGTTTAGAAATTCTGAATCAGGAAATATCCGTCACAAGATATCCACAACATAATAAAAATAAATAAGGAAATTGGAGTAAAAAGAAATTAGAGCAGAAAACAAATTAAAACTAAGGTTTTGTCCACAAAAAATTCTGCTAAACAGTTTTTTCCAGTTCTTAAAGATGGACTGATAGTTGTTAGATGGGCTGTTTTCTTATACAGTTTGCTCCACTTGTTAGAGAAGCTCTGTGCCTCCAAATGTCTGAAGGAAATGGGCAAATATGATCAGTTTTGATAATTATGTAATATTATCCTAGTGCTATGACCTAAGAGTACTTTCTACTACCCTTGCTCTTCAATAGGACATTGTTTTCCATGGTAATCATCGTATTTCTTCATGGAAAGGAAACTGTCCATGTAAGAGAAGGGCAAATCAAAGAATCATCGGTTGATCCCAAATCAATGAAGTTTTTCTTTAGATGTGTCAACCATAGAAAAATTTTAAAATAACCATTAAAAAAACTAATTTGCTTCTTGACATATTTTATCACATAAAAGGAGGTTTAGATAGTTGAAGATTTGTTAATCCTAGGATAATGCCAAAAATTACTTTAATAATTTGTTGTACAGCCCTGAACTACAAGAAAATTTAGAAATGTGCTTTATCTAGAATCGAGAACATCTATAAAAACAAGGAAATGTATGTTTCCCTGGTAAAATGCTATACTACATTGTGGTCTTTATTTTCATTCCAAAATTTAGGCCTGTCTACCACTAACTATAGATACTAGCATTTTCTTTTAGCAGTTTCAGAACCATCGTTTTTTTCCATCATCTGGCCATAATAAAAAGTAATCGACACATCATATTAAATGTGTACAAAATCATGTAAAGTAAGGTGAAATGTGTAGGGTATATCAAATGTTCATGTTTACAGGTTAGTCCTTCCTTGTTTGCATTTAATTTCCTAACAAAAACATTAAATCAAACATACTAAATCAGCCATCTCTCCCATTTGATTCTGATTTCATACCATCCATTAATGTGTATGGCTCCTTGATGTAATGAATATGTATTTAATTTTCCCTACTTCTATTCCCACTTTGTAAAACAATTTTTTTCCAGGGCTTACAGAAAGTGCCTAAAGCGAAAAGATTTCTTCAAAGCTCTGATTTTATTTTTCTTTTGCCAAATATGTGAAAAAATTCCTCAAGTGCATTAGTGTATTCTACTGCATATATAGATATAGTCTATTAAAGTTCAAACACTACCCGAGCACCTTCATTTTTTGAAGTTTACATTACAAAGAAGGGAGAAGAGTGGGAAAAAGGAGAAAAAGAGGAGGGAGAGAAATACTGAAATAGCATTAAAGAACTATGGCATATTTTTAATATTTCCATTTATCAATTATTACTTTAAAATGCAATATCTGTGCTAAAACTTCATTTGGAGATAACATAAAAAGTATAAATTTGAAGCTGAGGATATGAGATATGGACCATCCTTTTCGTCTTTCCTCTTCTCCCATCTTCTTCCTCACCCACCTCCCTACTCTGGTTTGCCAGAAATCCTGCTAAGCTTTATAAAAAATGGCTCATTTGTGCTAGTTCTGATGGTTCTGATATTGGAAGTGCTATGAAGCCTCCCAGAGTTCTCACCCATGGAGGAAATGTGTTCCTGTCTACATTTCTCCAAAACATTGCATGGACACATGAACACAATGCCCAACCAGGGAATTAGAGGAAGAAAAAGAGGCCAGAGGGGAGTCTACAAATATCTGAGTGAATCTGTGTCCCAGGTGTGTTGTGGTAGGACCGTTTCTTAATACTCCATATTATACTAGTACTTCACTTATTGAAAATCCGTAGAAAATTATTAATCTATAACTTAATATTGTACAAATAAAATACCAATAAAATGTTTATATGAAAAACTGGCTTTAAAGTTCATTTGGAAAATAAAACATGCAAGAATGCAAAGGATATTTTGAAAAAAATTAGGAGTGAGAGAGAGAGAGGGGAAAGAGGAAAAGAGAAGAAAAGAGAATTTGACTTGCCAAATACTAAGCCTATTATGAAGTTAAAGTAGTGTGGAACTAACAAAAAGTAAACAGCTGGATTAATGGAACAGATTAGAATTCTGTCAATAAAGCAAAAGATATAAGGGAATATAGTTACCACATAAGTGGCACTTCATATCATGGAAAATTAGTTATTCAATAAATGATGTTAGGACAAATAGATATACATGCATGGGAAAATTTTTTATGAATACCTCCCTAATTTCCAATATGAAAAATAAATTTCAGGTGAAATTTGTATATAAAGAACTCAAAACCATAAAAGCAGTAAAAAATGTTATGGGGTAATTTAAAAAATAAATTTGGCATGGGAGTACATTCTAAATATGTCACAAAGACTACAAGTCATAAAAATGTTAACATAGCAATAAAAATTAGAAGAGAAAAGGCAACATCAAAAAGACAACTACAATTTTAAAAAAATGAAAAACTACTTGCAACACAGTTAAAATTTCATATAGAAGAAGCTTCTTCGAATCAACAAAACCAACAACACAATAGAAAAATAAGCAGAAAAATGGACAGTTCATAGAAAAGAAATAAAACAGTTTTTAAGTATTTGAAAATGTTTAATCTCTTTTATTTTAGGAGAAAGGCAACTCAAGCTAACTTAAAAATTCTAACGTTCACTTATCTAATCATCAAAGATCAAAAAGTTTGAAAACAAGGAAATAGAAAATTTTAGTTCTTAGTGGTGCGAGTGTGAATTAGTACAATATTTAAGGAGTGACATTCAGCAACATTTATCCAAACTGAAAATCATCAGTGATAATGTGTATCATTAGTTAACTCCATTTACTTGCTAAATATGATTCCATTGCGTGAATCCAGTTTGTTCATCCATCACCAGTTGAAGGTCAATTCGATTGTTTCTACTTTTTGGATATTATAAGTATAGCTATCATAAATTATTATATAACTTCTTATAAATTTATTTTTCTTGCACCCGTTATAAAATTTTATATATATATATATATATATATATATATATATTTTTTTTTTTTTTTTTTTTTTTTTTTTTTGAGACGGAGTCTCGCTCTGTCCCCCAGGCTGGAGTGCAGTAGCACGATCTCGGCTCACTGCAAGCCCCGCCTCCCGGGTTCCCGCCATTCTCCTGCCTCAACCTTCCGAGTACCTGGGACTACAGGCGCCCGCCACCATGCCCAGCTAATTTTTTGTATTTGTAGTAGAGACGGGGTTTCACCATTTTAGCCAGGATGGTCTTGATCTCCTGACCTCGTGATCCACCCGCCTTGGCCTCCAAAAGTGCTGGGATTACAGGCGTGAGCCAACGCACCTGGCCAAAAATGATATATTTTTATAAATATAAATATAAAATGATATATTCTAGCGCCAGTTATAAAATGATACTGTCACAATGATATTCGGTTGTCTGATATAAGAGGTTAATAACAATGTATGTGGCTGTGAATGGAGGGTCAGTTAAATTTTGTCACACAAGGAAACACTATGCAGCTTTTAAAAATAACAAGGATATTTATGTATATAACTCACACAGAAGACAAAAATTGTCATCATACAGAGGTAAAGACAGATGACTAGACATGGATAATAGCAAGGAAGCAAAGTGAAGAATCTCTAATGTATTACTATTTGAGTAAACAGAGAAAAAGAAAGGAAATACATATATACATATACATACAGGTTTGTATGTGAATACTATCTGAAATTGGCAAGAGTACTAGTTTCTGTAAAAGGAACAAGTGGCTGAGGACTAGAATGAAAGAGACCTATTTTTTTCTCTCTACCTTTTGTACCTTTCTTTTGTACCCTTCACATTTGCTACTATGAGAATATTCTACCTTTTAGAAATTTTTCATTAATTAATTAATGTTTAAGAGAAAGAAAATGAATTCTAAAGAGATGAATTTGTGTCTTACTGCCAAATATCAGATATGAATATGGAGACAAGACAGAGGCTTTGTGCAAAATTAATTCTACATTTGGAACTCATTTCTCCTCTGAGAAACAGTGGTTGAATACAAATCCACATAGGTAATTGTTGGCAAAAGACTTTTTTCCCTAGGATTTTCTTGTATTCCTCTCAGAGTTCTTGTTTGCTTAGAAGCCTTCAGAGATGGAAGGCAGAATGCTTAGCGGAAGATCTAAATGTACCTCTGCTGAAGAAAGTTCCTATTTGGGTAGGTAATAATTAATGGGAGATTTGAGAGTATGCAGCAGTTTTCAAGGCTGGGAATTCCAAAGGTGAATGTGCATCTTTGTAATTGAGAAGCGCATGTAAACCCCAAGCATGTGTCATGTAATGTTAGTGATCAGAAATGCATCTTCATCAGAGCAGCCTCCTTCCTTGAGAGTGGCATTATCCTCCCTATTAATAGAGTTCTGATTTTTCCTCATATCACACATAAGAGCTTTCACACTGAATTACACGAGAGGAGAGGATGAAATTGGGAATGCTAACAAGCTATAAAGCCAGGTTTGACTTACATCCTTTCCCCACTTTCTGGAGGCTTAATGCCTTGGAGCATCTGTGAAAGCTGGTGACCGCAGGTTCTTCCTGGCAGTGTTATAATCCAGTTCACTTTATTAGGAGGGTCTAACATGGGAAGGGCCTAAGGTAGAAACTGAGTAACAACAGTAGGTTGTAATTTATTCTTACCTCAGTATACTGGGGATATATAAATTTAAGGGCCTAGTGGATGTAGAGCAGTGGGGAATTCATACACAGAATGGTATTTTCAACCTAATAGGGATACAGCTCTCAGGTGTTTTGTATGTTTTGTGTTCCACACAGCTTGGTACATCCATATAGTATCCTCTGGGCCGTGTGTGTGTGTGTGTGTGTGTGTGTGTGTGTAAATGAAATGTTGCAATAAGTTGCTCAGCTATGTCTACCGCTCCCTGCATTGTTTGCCTCTGGGAAAAGAAAAAGTTGTATCTTCTGACACAGATGTTTTCCCCTGGGGTATCAGGACCAGGCCTAGGCAGCAGCTTAAAGTAAGCCTGTTGGCTTTCGGATCCTTTCATGTCTATTTTTGCACCTCACACTATGTAACTTCCCTAGCCCTGATCTTCAGATCCATGGGTTGAATTTTTCCCAGTTCTCTTCTTCCTTTCTTTCTGGTTCCTTCTGCCTCTCCCATCAAATTTAACAGCCTTGCTCCCCATCATTTCAATTTCAGATTTTTCAGAAAAAAAAACTGCATACTTTAACATATAGCTAAAATTCTAATATATGTGCTAATGTTACACCTACTTATACAACGTATTTACATTTAAAGGGGGTTGTCTGGAGATGTAATGATTTAACCCAAAGGGATGAAAGTGTCTCACATTTGTATAGCACTTGGTAGATTACTTCAAAGGCTTTTCACAAACAACATTCTAATGAATCTAAGTCACCCTGAGGCAGAGAGGGTAGGCATTTTAATTAACATGCACATTGGTGATAACTTGAGGCTCTGAGAAGTTTGAAGCTGCCCCAGAGTCACACAGTATCCAGCAAGATATTGACTGAAGTCACTGATTCCTACTTCAGCGTTCTTTCTACTATATCAGACACATACAGAAATAGCTGTAAGCAATGAATATATATGTGATCATGGCACATAAGTACCCAGTGGCTCCATCTGCTCATAGGGCCTGTAATATTCAAGGAACAAATCTGTAAATGGGGATGAAGTTAGAGATTCTGTTAAAAATGCAGATTTCTGGGCCATCATTCATTTACTAAATCAGTAACAGAATCTCTGATGCACATGACATCTTGAAAAACCTTGAATGATTCCTTCTTCCTAGTACAGATGTATGTATTTTCTAACCTAAAATTCTCCAGTGTTTACCATGACGTTACACAGATGGCTTTAATTTCTTTGGCATGTCACTAAAAGCCTTCTACAGTATCGTCCTAGCCAGCATTCTTCATTCAGGTGTTTTACTGCTCTTTTTCACTTTGATCCCTGCATATATTCTGCAGTTTATTCCCTCAGGGCTTTACCAAACACGAGTTGCCATAACTTTCATTGCCTACTGCTCCATGCAACTTTTCTTGACCAGCTGGGATTTCTTCTTCTTCCTCTGAACTCACAGCATCCTTTTCAGTGTTAGCTCTGACTTTTGACAAATGCATATAGTCATGTAGCCAGGATCGAGATATATTACAGTTTCATCCTTCAGAAATTCTCTTGCACTCTTTGTAAGAAATCTTTCCTCCCTACTGCCAAACCCAGCTGATGAGTTTTCTGTAGCTATAGTTTTGCCTCTTTAGGATGTCATGTAAATGGAGTCATAGTGTGTAGTCTCTTGAGGCTGGCTTCATACACTTGGCAAAATGCATTTGATTTTCATGCCTATTATATTGTGTATCACTAGTTAATTCCATTTTCTTGCTGAATATGATTCCGTTGTGTAAATGTACAATTTGTTTATCCATTCACCAAAAGGCATTTAGATTGCTTCTACTTTTTAGATAAGCATAGCCGTCATAAACATGTGTATACAGTTTTTTGTATAAATATGTTAATATTTTTATTGAGTAAATATCTCAGAGTAGAATTTATAAATTGCATGGTAAGTTTAACTTTATAAGAAATGCCAAATTATTTTTCACGACTGTTTTGTATTCATAGTAGCAGTATGTGAGAGTTACAGTTGCTCTACATCCCTGCAAGCACTTGGTATTGTCAATTTTTTTTCTTTTTCATTGTAGGCATTCTGATAGATGTGTAATAGTATCTTACTGTGGTTTTAATTTGCATTTTCTTAGTGAATAATTAATGATGTTGAATATCTTTTCGTGTCCTTATTTTCCATCCATGTATCTTATTTGCTTTAGTGCCTGTCCAAATCTTTGCCCATACTTTTTTTTTATTTTAATTGGGTGGTTTATTTTCTCATTATTTAGTTTTGAGGGTACTTGAAATATTTTGGATACATGTCCTTTATTAGATACATGTTTCATAAATATTTTCCAAGTCTCTAGGTTGCCTTTTCCTTATTTTTAAGTTTCTTTCAAAGAGAAGAAGTTTTAAAATTTTGATGAAGTTGCTTTTTATCAATGGACTGTACTTTTCGTACCATATATAAGAAATCCTTACCAAATCCAAGGCCACACATATTTTCTCCTTTGATTTCTTCTAGAAATTTTACAGTTTTTGGTTTTGCATTCGGATCCCTGACCCATTATGAGTTAATTTTGTGTATGAATCATGATTACTTTTGTTGTAAAAACTAGCCTTTCTTCATTGTAGTTATTTCTTCATTATAACTTTTTTGACCACGTATATGTGGCATGGGATGATCTCTTCTGTTCTATTGATCTATGTGATAATAGATATTGTTTTGTTGATTTATGTGTTTTTGGCTTTTGAGTTTTTTGTTTTGTTTTGTTTTTTTTGGTGAGGGGGCAGAGTTTTGTTCTGTCACTCAGGCTGGAGTGCAATGGGGTGATCATGGCTCACTGCAAACCCTGCCTCCTGGGCTCAAGCCATCCTCCCACCTCAGCCTCCCAAGTAGCATAGCTGGGACTATAGGTGTGTACCAACATATCTGGCTAATTTTTTATTTTGTGTAGAGACAGAGTCTCACTATGTTGTTCAGGCTGGTCTTGAGCTCCTAAACTCTGGCTGTCCACCAGCCTTGGCCTCCCAAAGTGCTGAGATTACAGGTGTGAGCCACTGTTCCTAGCCTGATAACTTAAAAAAAAAAAATAACACTTTATGGCTTTGCAAAAAAAAATCACTTTCTGCTTTATATCAAAATTACCTAATATAACTGTCTTGGACTCTTTTGCTAAACTGTGAACCTAGGGAAGGCTGTAGGCCTATATTTGCATCTTCTGATTACTTAGTTCAAAGTGTTGCACAGAGAAGATGATCAAGATGGGAAAAATGCATGGTTTTAAATCACATTCTTGTTTGCATAATTACCATCATAGTTTTGTTTGCTGGAGGACAAACTTAAGTTGGCAGACTGAACAGAAGTAAAAATAATAATGCTCTTCCCTTTTATTCCTGCAAGGATACATATATCTTCGCATGAAATAAATACAGCCCAATTTATTAGAAATTAG
Organism: Homo sapiens; assembly: GCF_000001405.40. Classification (NCBI taxonomy): domain Eukaryota; kingdom Metazoa; phylum Chordata; class Mammalia; order Primates; family Hominidae; genus Homo; species Homo sapiens. The sequence continues at coordinate 86,650,690 of NC_000005.10, read as the reverse complement.
ACTGAAAGTGTTTTATTCATTGCCGAAAAGCCAAATTTCAGAGCCACCAGATTCACGTAGCCTCATCTTTTGCTGGAGGGAATAAAACAGAGTTCGCTGGAAGAAACTCAGGAAGATTATTTAGAGCTATGGAATATTTTCAAGTGAAAGTGAACCCATTCTGTAAATAGAGATACATAACATAACAATGTTAGATGGGTAACGGTTCTTGATTTATGTTTGTATGTATGGGTTATTAATAGTAGTGGTAAGCATTTGGGGCATTTAGTTTTCATATTCTGAAACTGTTTAGAAGATAAGACAAGTGCTGCCTTTGCTGTCAGTGTCATCTGAACAGCGAGCCTTAATTTCTAGTACAGCATTGTCATCTGCTCAAAGCTAGTTTAATCACACATAGCAGGTTAAAGAGCAAGTGACCTTTTCAGGAATGAGGGGAGACTATATCAAATAAATTCTGTATTTTTTGTCTGCTGGGACAGATGTTAGATTGTGCTGGCATCTGTACAAATTCACAAATAGTTCCAGCTATGATTGTTAATTTACAGAAGAATTTCTATTACCCAGTGCCTCAATATGATAAATCTTATTATCACTCTTGTTCTCATATACCTTTGTCAACATTTGCTGAGACATATGCAGGAAGATTGTATTCTGGGAAAAGGTCACCTCATGCTGATGAATAGTGTACTGACATTGTAAAGATGATTTAGAGCGTCCAGACATCACCAAACCAACTGTCAGTTTCAGGCAAGGAATTTAAGCAAGTTTAAAATGGATGATAATCAAGGAGTAAAAAGGAGAGGGTAGTTTATCAGAAATCTTTGGATATGATGTAATATGGACATGGCTTAGAATATTTCATCCCTCCAATTTCTTTCAACTCCAGTTTATTATATCCTTTGTCATTTTGAAGTATTTTTGTCACCTTTCTCTTTAGCTGCCATTCATGAGAATGGAAAGCATTAGCTTTCTAATCCCTGTTTGACACTATACTCCTATTCTTAAGAATAATACCAAAAGGAGCTTCATAGATTAACATGACAAAACAATTGCAAAGATTAAAATAGCACTTTTATTGTAAAATATATGTGAAACTATTTTTAAAATCTTTTTTATAGTGAAAAGGTTTAAAAAGAAAGTACAAGAAAGAAGTTCCATGCTTCACAATTACACAACTTTTGAAGATCTTTCATCTATTTCTTATTTTTCATTTCTTTTGCTGCTAGAGTATTTTAAATAAAAATTCACACAGCATATCGTTTTATCCACACGTGCTTTAGTCTTTCTAATGAGAAAATTTTAAAAAACGTAATCACAGTAACATTAATCACACCTAACAAACTCAGCAATTATTATTTTATATCAGCTAATATCTAGTCCATGTTTAAACCTTCCCAGTTCTCTCAAAAATATCCTTTTTATTGTTGGTGTATTTGAGTCTGAATTCAAACAAATTTTAAACATTGCATTTGATCGATACCTGTCTTAAATTTCTTCTAATCCGTAACACGTTTCCTTTTCCTACTCTTTCTAAATATCCCCCTCCACTCCACTCTAGGTTATTTGTCTCATAGAATTTCTCAGGTTCTATTATAGATTTTTATTTTGGGATGCTCATTTAGCATATTTTTCTGGATTTATTTTCTATATAAGTGATCGAATCTACATGCTTAATTAAATTCAAGGAGTCAGGTTTCATTTTATTGTATTTTATTTGGGGAAATATTTTATTTGGGGAAAAAACATAAGTGGCTCTATGTATCCCTTATTACATCACATTAAGAGACACATAATGTCTGATTTTCCTACTTTTAATGATATTAAAATTGATCGAGAGGTTAATCCATCTATTGTAAAGTTGCCATCAACCTTTTACCTAATGGTTTTAGAAGGCATTGATGATTACTATCTAGATTAGTTACTATATTACATTTTGCAAAATGGACATTTTCTAATTGTATTATTCCTTTTCATTTTTTTAGTTTTACTTCTTTTTTCTATATTATTAATATATAACACTTATTTTTCCCAAACACTTTCAAAAACTTTTAATTTAATTTAATTTTCTTTTTTGAGACAGGGTCTTGCTATGTTGCCCAGACTGGTGAGCTCCTGGGCTCAAGTGATCCTCCTGCCTCAGCCTCACAGCTCAGCCTTCCAAGTAGCTGGAATTAGAGGTACATGCCATCTCACCTGGCTCATTATGATGTTTTTACCTTGTCAGAAAACAAGACTGTTACTCAAAACAGTGGCAATAATTTTATAGAAGGAAATAAGAAAGAGACAAGGAGACTTTCAGTTGTTCTTTACTACAAAACAGCAACAACAACCACTTGATTCAGTTCCCTGGAGCACATGACTAGACTGTTAAAAAGAACAACCACTATCTAGGACACAAATATATAAATGTGAAACATTAGCAAATTGTACGGGAAAACAAGTATGTGATGTAATATTAGACATAGATAAAAATTTGTCTGTTACCTTTTTTATTAACATTCATTGGTGTAAACTTCCACTAGAATAAAAATTACATGAATGCAGGAATTTTTGTCTACTTTGTTCACTGCTAAATTCACAAGACTTGAAAAGATGCTTGGCACATCATAAACTCTAGGCAAATATTTACTGAATCAATACTAAATTAACGAGTTAGATAATTTCAAGAAGTGATTAGTTAACAGTGATTACATCAAGAAAGAAGGAGATGAAGAGGAAAATACACTCTGGTCACTTGTGGTAATAGTTTACCACTGTGAGTTAAGAACTTACATTAGGAATGTATGTGTGCCACTATATGTAGTCTAAAGTCTTTGAATTATTTACTTACATCCCTTGCCAGTTAAACAGACACCTCTGGATCAAAGAATTGGTGGCATAGTTTTTATTTCCCCCACTGATAGCCTCCACTCCTATTTCTCCAGTCAGGAAAAATTTCATATTAAGTGTCTTCCATGTTTGCAAATACCTGTTGAATAATGAATGCAAAATTCACTGGTATACTGAAGTTGCTGGTAAAATATGTAACCAAGTTTTCTCCATAGAAAAAGAATATTTACCTCTGATGTTTTAAGATTTCTTATCATTTCACTTAATTATGCTGTTATTAGGATAAGGATAATAAGTATATTCAAAAGTCCCTTTTGAAATTAAAGAAAGTCTAAGGCACAATCTCAAAAAAAATCTTGTGCTGTCAGTGCCTCTTTTCATTAAAAAAAAAGAAGAATGTGCTTAATTTAGAGATGCTAGTCTACTGATGATCCTCCAACTTCTCTGACAACTCCCTCCTTTCTTTGTATCATCTCCTGTGGATAAGGGATGTTCATTGTTTCTCCTTTAGAGAGTTAACTGACTCTTACAATGGCAACAAAGATTTACTTAAATTTATATCACACACACTCATGCATGCACACACGTGCACAAGCCTACAAACTTTATCACCAGTTCTGACCATTTTCCTGTGCTCTGGGTCTGCATTTCCAGATGCACAATATCTCAAGCATGACTGAAGTCAAGTTTCAAATAGAATTCCAAAAGAGTTCCACTAGATCCCATGGAATTTATTATTTCTGCCAGTATCAATTTCTCAGTCTCTCAAGGTTAAAACCTTCTTATCACCCTTATCTTCTCTCCATTTTGCCATTCCACCTACAATTAATCACTAAATCCCACTGGTTTGACTTCCCTTATCTCTTGAATTGGTCTTTTCTGTTCCATTCCCATGGTCCCTTCTCTCATTACCTCTCAGCTTAACTATCAAAATAGCCTCTTAATTGGTCTTTAGTCTTTCTCTACTCCAGTCAATTTTGTCTACTGCTGCCAGATTAATTTTCACAATGCACAACTCAAAGTATATAACCTTCCGGCTCAAAAAGTCCAGTAGTCCCCTATTACTTAGAGGATTAAGTCCAAACTATTTTGCTTGGCTCTATGACCTTTGTCTGAATCACCCATAGTATATGCCCTAATTGCCAGCCAAAGTGAGTTATTTCCCACTTCCCAAATAAACTCTAGGATTTTCTGCCTATATTTCTTTAATTATGCTTCTCTCCATCTGGAATGTTCCCTTCCCACAGCCCTTTTCACTTCCATGTCCATACAAATACCCTCATCCCTCAAGACATTGCACAAATGCCATACACTTTCAAGGAGACCTTTCTACTTATCCTTTCCTCATGTTGTGGTCTCCTTTCTAAATTCCCTCTTCATTTTGTTGATACTTCTCATAGAAAAATTATCACATGTGAACTTAAATTGTGACTAATTGTATATTATTATATTTCCCTTTAGGGAATTTTTCTATCTTTAGAAAGAAGCCAGGTTTTAAAAATCTGTTACTATTCTTTTATCTTTCTGTATTAGGCTGTTCTCGCATTGCTGTAAAGAAATACCTGAAACTGGCTAATTTATAATGGAAGAATTGTAACTGGCTCATGGTTCTGTAGGTTGTACAGGAAACATAGTGCTGGCAATCTGCTTCTGGAGAGGCCTCAGGAAGCTTTTACTCCTGGCAGAAGGTGTTGTGAGATCAAGCACTTCATGTGGCAAAAGCAGCAGCAACAGTGGGGAGGGAGGTGCCATACACTTTTAAATGAACAGATCTTAGAAGAACTCATTATAATGAAAACAGAATGAAGCCAAGAGGGATCTGCCCCTGTGATTCAAACAGCTCCCATGAGGCCCCACCTCCAGCACTGGGGATTAAAATTCAACATGAGATTTGGGTAAAGACAAATATCTAAACTGTGTTATTTTACCCCTGGCCACTCCCAAGTCTCTGTCCTTCTCACATTGCAAAATACAATCAGGCCTTCCCAACTGTCCCCCAAAATCTTAACTCATTCCAGCAGTTACTCAAAAGTCCCGAATCCAAGTCTAAAGTCTCATCTGGGACTCATCTCTTCCCACCTATAAGCCTGTAAAATCAAAACAAGTTATTTACTTCCAAGATGTAATAGTGGGTATAGGCATTGGGTAAACATTGCCATTCAGAAAGAGAGAAATCAGCCAAAAGAAAAGGACTACAGGTCCCACACATATCCCAAACCTAGCAGGGCACTCATTGAATTTTAAAGCTTTAAAATAATCTCCTTTAACTCCATGTCCCACATCCAGGGCATACTGGCACAAGGGGTGGGCTCTGAAGGCCTTGGGCAGCTCCACCCCTGTGGTTTTGCAGTGTACATATCCCAAGTCTGCTCTTGCAGACTGTTGTTGAGCGCCTATGGTTTTTCCAGGCTCAGGGTGCAAGCTGCCGGTGGATCTACCTTTATGGGGTCTAGAGGACAGTGGTCCCCTTCCCACAGATCCAGCAGGCAGTGTCCCAGTGGGGACTTTGTATGGAGGCCCCAACCCTACATTACCCCTCTGCACTGCCTAAGTAGAGGTTCTCTATGGGGTTCCACCCCGTAGCAGGCTTTTGCCTAGGCATCCAGGCTTTTCCATACATCCTCTGAAATCTAGGCAAAGGCTACCAGGAATCCACCACTCTCATACTCTCTGTGTCTGCAGGCTTAACACCACAGGGGAGACACTAAGGCCTACAGCTTGCATTCTCCAAAGTGGCAGCTTGAGGTGTACCTGGGACCATTTGAGCCCGGCTGGAGCTGGAACTAGAGTCGCCCGCCAGTGTGCAGAAAGCAGTGTCCTGAGGCTGCACAAGTCAGTATGCCTGGCCCATGAAACCAGTCAGACCTCCTAGGCTTCTGGGCCTGTGATGTGAGGGGCTGCCATGAAGGTCTCTGAAATGCCTTTGAGGCCTTTTTCCCATTGTCTTGGCTAGTAGCACCTGGCTCCTTTTTAGTTATGCAAATATCTCTAGCAAGTGGTTGCTCCAGAGCCTGCTTGAATTTCTCTCCCCACAAAAAAAGATTTTTCTTCTCTGCTATATGGCCAGGCTGCAAATTTTCCAAACTTTTTTGTTCTGTTTCCCTTTTAAATATAAGTTCCAATTTTAAATCATTCATTTGCTCCCTCATTTAAGTATAGGTTGTTAGAAGCAGCCAGACCACATTTTGAACATTCTGCTGCTTAGAAGTTTCTTCCACCAGACACCCTAAATCATCACTCTTTAGTTCAAACTTCCACAGATTCCTAGGGCATGAACAGAATGCAGAAAAGCTCTTTGTTAGGGCGTAACACACGTGGCCTTTGCTCCAGTTCCCAATAAGTTCCTCATTTCCATCTGAAACCTCGGCTGTCTGGACTTCATTGTCCATGTAACTATCAGCTTTTTGGTCACAACAATTTAACCATTCTCTAAGAAGTTCCAAACATTCCCTCATCTTCCTATCTTCTTCTGAGCCCTCCAAACTCTTCCAACCTCTGCCTATTATCCAGTTCCAAAGGCACTTCCACATTTTCAAGTATCTTTATAGCAATACACCTTTCCTGGTACCAATTTTCTATATTTGGCCCTTCTTGCATTGCTATAAAGAAATACCTGAAACTGGCTAATTTATAACAAAAGTGGTTTAACTGACTCATGGTTCCATAGGCTATACAGGAAACATAGAGCTGGCATCTGCTTCTGGGGAGGCCTCAGGAAGCTTTTACTCATGGCAGATGGTAAAGTGGGGGCAAGGGATGGGGGAAGGTGCCACACATTTTTAATGATGAGTTCTCATGAGTACTTATTATCACAAAGACAGCACCAAGCCATGAAGAATCTGGCACCGTGATCCAAATACTTCCCATTAGGCCCCACTTTCAGCACTGGGGATTAAAATTCAACATGAGATTTGGGTGGGGATAAATACCTAAACTATATCACCCTCCCTCACAATATATGACACAGTCCTTTGCATACTATAAAGCCACATAAATATATGTTGAATTAGCATTAACTAGCTTTGTGGTAATTCTGAAAAACCAGCTACATTACTTGTGTATTAACAGAAATAACCATCTAAGTGTGGCTACTGTGCTGCCATTATCTGGGTGTTAGTAGGCACTATGTGTGCATGGCAATGTTGATAATGAAAATATCAAGGATGGAAACTAAGCTTTCTGGTCCTTTATGCACATCACATGGAAACTAATACAATGTGGATCATGCTTGCATTGATGCATCCTTGCTAAATGATTTGTATAAACTACAATAATTGTTTCCAACATTTCTCAAAGAATAAAGGGTTCATTATTTTGAATCAGCTGATCACAACCCTCAAATATACACATTCATTTTTCAACACCCCAAGGAGAAGCACCAAAGTCACAACAAAAGAAGATGATTTCAGATGGTAGTTTCCTGTAAATAATTTCCTGGTAGTAAGCATTTACAAGAACTAGTGGGTAACACTTCTCTGTCTACTGCGTCTTTGCCTTCTCTTGCCCTATTGCAAATTAGTACTCTTGTTCATAATGACAGTCCTAGGTCACTGCCAGATCCTTCTTCAGCAAAGAAAGATGTATATTCTGCTCTATTTCCTATGGCACATAAGCACTTTAGACATTTAAAATTCTCAAAAGTAAAATTTCACACTACTTAAATATAGAATTAAGGAGGTGCCAAATCACCACAATCTATGTGATTTTAAATTAAAATGATATACTATGTAATGAAAGCAATAGAAAGCTTTAACTCAGAGCTTCCCACCATTCCCTATTCCATGGAAAAAAAGGACAGTGGCAAGCTCTGAAAAATTTTAAAACGTCTCTACAATTGTACCACCAATTGAACAAAAGTTATTGGATAAATCATCTTAGTTATTTTTCATGGCTTTAGGAATAGTTATATAAATACAATCCACTTAGTATTTATATAACTTAAGGCTTAAAAATGACATACTTCTGTTATAGAACTGTGATAGATGAAACTTCATGTCTGTGGGGAGAGAGTTGAGCTCTCTCTCTCACCCACTGAATATCTTGAGAAAGGAAGAATAATTGAATTAAACAAAAATTGATAAAGTTTAATATAGGGAAATGGAGCAGGAAGAATTCTGTTCTATTATTGTTTAAAGAGTATTTATTTTCCTTTCTGGTTTCTCCCCTAAATAGTTGTGGATGTATGTTGGCAAAGCACTTAGCTTCTGAGGGCCTCAGTTTCTTACATAATACAAGAAAGTTGAACTACATGATCATTATGGGCCCTTCCTGCTTTCTTTTTCTTATGGGAAAATAGTTAATAAACATGTAAATTAGAAATATAACCTCAGCTAATGATAAGTGCTATGTAAAAATTTGGGTGGGACAAAAGAGTCACTAGAAGTAAGGAGGTGGCATTTAAGGTGAAACTTAAGTGATAAGAAGATAGTCATATGAAAATGTTGGGGCGCAGTGTGCTAGGCAGAGAGAACAGGAAATTCAAAAGCCCCAAGGCAGGAAAAAGACCACTGTGAAGGCTGGCACAGTGATAGGGTATGACATTGGGGAGGTGAGTCTATGGTAAAGAGTTTAGGTTTGACTTCATGACTAATCATAAAGGGAAAAGACTGACGGGGTTGATGCTGAAGAGTGATATGATCTGATTTAAGTTTTAAGACAACTATATGAGGTGCTGTGTAAGCAACAGACTGTAAGGAAGCAAGAGTATTAGCAGACAAGGCAGAAGGCTAAGGATGGTGGTAGAGACTAGGCCTTCAGCAGTGGGACAATGGTGAGAAACAATTGGACATGAAAGTATGTTTAGGAGAGAGCAAAAACAGGACTTGCTAATGGATTGGAGGAGAAGGGTGGGGAAAAGAGAGGACTAAGGATGTCTAGTTATTGATCTGACAAATACATGATTTTGTCTATAATGATAGTTTAATCTAAGGGCTCAGCTGTTGGTTATTTGCAACCGTTCAGCTGTATATGTGTCTGGATCATAGTGGAGATGTGAAGATTGAAAATGAAGATTTGAGAGACCTCAGCTTATACATGGTATTTAAAACCATGAGACTGGATAAAATCTTGAATGCTCTCATATTCACCTTTTTATTATCCAGCGGAAAAATTGGATCAGGTACATTGAGTCATTCTTATTAAATTACTTGCCATAGTATTTTAAAGTTCTCTGTGCTGATTTAATGATGTGATGCAGATGGGGAGAGAAGCTATGAAGTGTGGCTCTGAAAATACATGCTTTTAGTTGTAGCTTAATTTGAGGTTTTACTGTTAGTTTTTTATAACTGTGCAGTATTTTCCAGGCATATCTTCACCTAATGTTGTTCTTTATCAGACTGAAAGGGAAGACACAAGTTTTATCATCTAAATTTACTTTGATTGTGTCCCATTACCATTTGGTTTCTCATATATCCAAAGCCAATTGATTTCCAATTAAGAACAAAGTCTTCTTTAATTTTAAATCCACTTAATTAATTGTTTTAATTTCAAACATAACAGCATTGCAGGGAAATCTTCGTTTAAAGTTTATTATTAACTGAAGTAAACAGAAGATAATGGAAACTGGAAGCATAGGAATCTTCTGTTAACAATAAGTTCTTTATCTTTATAATAGAAGCTAGTGTTTCACCTTTATTTTCCCCATTTCTTTCTAAGATAAGCACTTAAGTCTCCTTTACATAAATAGTACGAAAGACAAAGGGCTTATTTCCTTAAAAGACAAAAAGCCATTATAAATCAGTAAGTGAATAATGATGCACATTCCAACCAAAAACTGAAAGCAAAACAAAACAAAAAGCAAGGCAAAGAATATAATCAGGCAATTCACATCATATAATAGATGCTTAACCTCAGTTTATACACATTGTACTCTGATTTTTTTCCCAAATTTTTTTATTTTATAGTAATAAACTGTAATTTTGTGATATCTGGTATATAATTCTGTGTGCCACTGGTCCTTTTTTTTTTTACTTTTCTTAGCGTCTTAAACTATTTCTCTGTGTCTCCTTTATTCTCCTAACTTATCTCTGATTTTAATCCTGATCTGCAGAATAACTAGATCTAAGCAGAAGGAAACTGAGGAAATGGAAGCAGGAAGTATTATTGGTACTAATTATTGGCCATCAAATCTGAGTTTCCTTCCCCTCTTGACTTTTTCTGATATATTTTCAAAATTCTCTTTTTGATAAATCTTGTTTTCCCAGTTTCTAATTAATCTACTTTTTGAAAATTTTTTTCTGTATTTACTCTTACAGATCCTTCCGTATTTCTCTACATAACAAAATATCTAAGATTTTCTTGACATTTTCTAAAGGAAAATTAAATTCAGATTACCTCTGAACATTAAATAATATGGAAACATTTCTTTGAAAGGTAGAATAGAAAAGTTCTGAGAATTCACATCAACAAAAAAGGACTCTTAGAAATGGGAACTAGGAGTTGCAGCTAATAAGGATGTTGGTTCTAGCAGGTAACATACAAATTGCTCTTAGAATGAAAATATACCTTTGAAGGATCTATTACATTTATCTTAAATATCCAGAAACTAGGCTTTGGAAGCTCAGAAACTAAGAATTAAATTTTTTTTTCCTCAAAATGGAATAAAAAGATTAGAGTGGTCCTAGCAGTCAGGCCACAGTCTAGTTTGGAAAGGGAGCTGACGCAGTTTCTTGATAAAAGACAAGGAGTTAAATAAAGCAATTCTCCCTCCCTCCTCTTTACAAAAATATTTTGAATTTTTTTTTTGAGCTAAATTCTCCTTTGATGCAGCTCTACTCTTAGTATCAGATCTAGGTTTCACTATTTCTAACTTTTTACATATATAATGACTAGTATATCTCATTATTAGTTTACCAACAGGATTCAAAATTGTAGGAAGCACAGAGCAGCCAGTAGATAGAAATACGGGGTAATGACAACAGGCTTTACCAATAGCTGTTGCAATATTAAGAGTGATCCTCATGTAAACAATAGGAGAAACATGTTTCCTGTCCACAAATTGCTCTATTACACCGGAGTAACTAACATCTAATATGGTTGGCAAACCATTACCTCACTTGCTGACAGTGGTACAGCTCTAACTTGTGTCATAATCCTGAGCTGGCCACCTCACATGTGCAGCAGAGGTAGCTGAACACCACAGTTTTCAGGTGGGTGCTCCATCTATAAAGAAGCAGCCACCTTCCCTTCAACTCAGCCTTTACCTTATTGACAAGCCCACACTTTGCCAGCTAGTCTGCAACTCTTGAATACGTTTCAGAATGAAACAGAGATATGTTTGGCTTTAAAAGACCTACCTCCTATATCATCTTCTAAAATTCATAGCTCAAACTCAGTGCTGAGTTGGGTTCCCCGCTTGGCAACAAAATGTTTTCCATTAAATATGGAATTTTTTGTTGCTTAGTCTGTATGGATTTTCTCTTTCTTTCAAGGTAATAAAGAAATTAATGACAGAATTAGCTAGATTATTGATAATTATTGGTTTAAAAATAGACTGTGAAATATTGATATAAAAGGTATTTTTGCTGTAATAAACTTAAAATCAGCAAAGGCAGTATCTTCTTTTAGTTTGAAAAAATTATTTTTGGAGTTAAGAAAATGTATTAAATCAAATCTCTACCAACCCACCCTTAGATAATAACCCATCAGAAACAGTTTTAAAATATATATATAAGAAAATGTTGATGGAGTATGTGGGCTGAGAAACCTTGGGTAGAACACAAAATGTATCCATTTGATACAAAATAGAAATAACTATTAACTTGATCTATTTTTAAGAACTAAAAAGCAGATTCTAACATCAAAGTATATTTTACTGCAAAGCTGCAAAAATGGACTTTGAAATACCTGAGAAATTAAAGAGACAAGTCTGATTTTAATTGCATGAAACTTATAACTTTTATGGATATTATGCACTTCTGTACTCCCAAATTTATATTCTTAGAAATATACTCATTTGCAGTTTACCTTCAGGTTTACACACATACATGTGTGTGCACACATGCATGAGTACAGACAACTTACATAATCAAATTGTAAGAGAAAATGTAAGCGACAGCACTTGAAAACTGAATTCAGAACACTAAATTTTTAGAAAATTAATAATGGTAAGGGTTTAGCTCTTTGAATCAGTAAAATCTACATTATCTCATATGGTGGCCCAGATCTTAGAGCTTTGGCAGTCATTCCTTTTGCTTAGGCAAGTTCTTTCATTCATAATGGCTGTGTACAAAATCAATTCAAAATTTAATAAAACAATAATCATTTAATACACAGTTTTTGTGGGTCAAGAATTCAGGAGAAGCTCAGCCATAAAGTTTTTGCTCAAGGTGTCTCATGAGGTTGCAGTCATGTGGCTGTGGCTGAGTCAGCTCCTAAGTTTCTTTACTCACCTTACTGGTATATCATCTGCAAAAATTCAAACAGCTGGGACTGAAACATCTGGGGCTGCTTGGGCCTCTTGCTCCATCTCTGTGATCTGTGTGATTTCTCCAGCATGGAATCTTCAGGATAGTCCGGTTTCTTACATGCTAACTCCGGACCCCCAAAGAGAGAAAGAGAGCAAGCTAAGACCTTTATTATCTTTTATGACCTTTTTTTTTTAACCACAATTATTGATGGATTGAGTTAAAAATTTCTGCTCAGGTTCAAGGGGGAACATAGATGCACCATTTAATGGAGGCGTTATCAATATCACATTGTAAGAATGTGACATGGGATATATATTGCTGTGTCCAAATGTGGATAAATACAATCTGCCACACTAACAAATGTCTGGCTAAGCGTTACACTTAGAATTTTTTCTATATAATGATATTTATAACAGTAATAGAAATAGTTTTAAAATGGCAAATAAGGAATTGCCACCACCATAGAGGAAAGAGATCATTCTTTTTGATGAACATACACTCTCAGGTGACAGCTTTTTATACTTAATTGTATCCATCTCATGTGTACGTTCAGTTTCTGTGCTTCTTCTTTTTCTTATATTTATTTATTTTATTTTATTTTTTCTGAGACAGGGTCTCTCACTTTGTCACGCAGGCTAGAGTGCAGTGGCACAATCTCAGCTCACTGTAGCCTCGATCTCCTGGGCTCAAGGTATCCTCCTGCCTCAGCTCCCCCATGTGCCTGGGGCTACAGGCACGCACCACCATGACCAGTTAATTTTTTTGAGGGTTTTGCCATGTTGCCAGGGCTGGTCTTGAACTCCTGACCTCAAGCAATCCACCCTCCTCAGCCTCTCAAAGTGCTAGGATAACAGGCATGAGCCACCACACCTGGCCCCTTTCATTTTTTTGTTGTTGCTGTTTAACAGATACTTATTACCTGCTCTATAGTAAGCAGTGTATAAGAGGATGAGGTTGAAGTTATAGGCACAAAGTCATAATTGCTGTCCTCATTGAACACAATGAGAACTGTGTTTTGAATAGTTTGTAAATGAGGCAAGTCTTCAACATAAGTAGCAGCAGATTTGAATTTTAGGAGTTCATGAAGACTCTACAAGAAAAAAACTGCATAGTACCAGGTTGAGTTCAAATAAAGGTAATGTAAAGTAGGGAGACCAAATTTGCGTGTGTGTGTGTGTGTGTGTGTGTGTGTGTGTGTGTGTGTGTGATTTAGAAATAGACTCTGAAATAACTTAAAGAGATCAAATTTGCGTGTGTGTGTGTGTGTGTGTGTGTGTGTGATTTAGAAATAGACTCTGAAATATCTTAAAGAAAGAAGTTCAAAAAAGAAAAATGTTTTGAGACCGTGATGGTGGTAGTACCACAAAAAGATAATTAGCTTAGTTCTCCAAGGAAACTTACTGGAAAGTATATATCAATTTAATTATGTAAATTTGAGCATAAGTGCTTTAGTGTATATTCTATAGGAGTTGTGTGTGTGTGATAAGTCTCCTATTATCTTATAACTTTTTTTAGTGTTTTGAAAATCAAAACAATGTCTGGGACACTGCCAGAAAAAGGTATTTATTACATAAAAAATTATGATTTTATAGAAACTTAAAACCTTAGCTAATTATTAATTTTAAAAATCTAAGGTCAAAGCCCTCTTCTATTAATAGGTTTGATATTCTGGTGTATAATCTGTGCAAAATAAAGTCATAAAAGCTCATTGTTTGTAGGGACTTTAAAAATCATCTAGTCCCCAAGTTTCTCCCATGTTTTAATCCATTCCACAAAATTTCCCACCAAAGTTGTCCAGTTTTTTTTCTTAAGTAACTTCAGTGAGAGGGCAAAGCATGGCCAGCATCCAGTGATGTGGTGTTTATTTCATTTTTCAGTCTCCTTGCAAATACAGTTGATTCTCTTTATTCAAAGATTCTGCAATTGTGAATTTGCCTACTCACAAAAATTTATTTGTAACTCCAAAATCAACAGTTACTGCACTTTTGCAGTCATTCATGGACATGAGCAAAGTGGCAAAAACTTTGAATGTAATTATGTGCACGTTCCCAGTTGAGGAACAAAATGGTGCTTTGCCTTCTTGTTTCAAATCTGATACTGTAAACAAATATTCTTTCTGCAATCTATTTAGTGACACGTATTTTGCATTTTTGTGCTTTCTGTTGGTAATTTTGTTATTTAAATGGCCCCCAAGCTCAGTGCAGAAATACTGCCTAGTGTTGCTAAGTGCAAGAAGGCTGTGATATATCTTACAGAAGAAGTACATGTGTTAAATAAGCTTTGTTTAGGCATGAGTTATAGTGCTGATGGCTATGAGTTCAATGTTAATGAATCAATGATATACATTAAATAAAATGTCTTTAAACAGAAACACAAAAACATGTTTATGTATGGATCCATTGGGAAAAAAAATGTTGTGAATGGGGCTTGCAGAAACCTAACCTTGTATTTCCCCTATGAGCAATAATTCAGTATTTATTAATTCAGTGTCTGCCACAACTTTGTAGAACATAAATACTGTGAATAATGAGAATTAAGTGCACAAATAAGCATATTACAAATACCCAATAAGAGTGAGCACTGAGCTTTCCTTTGAGTATTCTCAGTAGCCTCAAATGACATTTCTGAACTTTTAATTCTTTCTCACTGTAGAAAGAATAGATCTTACGATATAGCTTCTAAATTATACTGAGAAAAAAAATCAAATAACTACAAATCATATTAGCCGTGATTATTTGGCCTAGCAACCAGAATTCTGTTGTGCTTTTCCTCTGTCAGAACTATTTTCACAAAAATAGCCACTGGAGCCAGTTTACAGTCAACCCTCATAGAAGTAACAGAGAGAAGGCAAAATTATATTCACGTTGGCTAGAGAACAAGCAGCACATGATAGAGAAGTATGATAGAAACAAAACATTTTTTTTTCTTCTTTTTTGAGACGGAATCTCGCTCTGTCACCCAGGCTGGAGTGCAATGGCGCGGTCTCAGCTCACTGCAAGCTCCGCCTCCTGGGTTCACGGCATTCTCCTGCCTCAGCCTCCAGAGTAGATGGGACTACAGACACCCGCCACCACGCCCGGCTAATTTTTTGTATTTTTAATGGATACGGGGTTACACCATGTTAGCCAGGATGGTCTCAATCTCCTGACCTCATGATCTGCTCACTTCGGCCTCCCAAGGTGCTGGGATTACAGGCGTGAGCCACCGTGACCAGCCAGGAACAAAACTTTTAAACCATTTGCTATGGTCTGAATGTTTGTGTTTTCCCCAAATTCATATGTTGAAACATAAACCTCATGATATTGGTATTAAGAGGTGAGGTGTTTGGGAGATGATTAGGTCATGAGGACTCTGCCCGCATGAATGAGATTCCTGACCTTATACAAGAGGCCTGAGGGAGCCTGTTTGCCCCTTCTGCCATGTAAGAACACATAAGACAGGCCATCTATGAGGAACAAACCCTCAAAAGACACTAAATCTTCTGGTACCTTGATCCTGGACTTCCCAGACTCCAGAGCTGTAAGCAATAAATGTCCATTGTTTATAAATCATCTAGTCTAAGGTATTTTGTTATAGCATCCCGAATGGATTAATACATCATCCCTGGATTTCATGATCAACAACTTTTTCTTTTAATTCAATGGCAATCCTTCAATAATAACCCATGGCAATTGTCTATATTCCAAATGTGTAAGCATGGCTTGACAGGGAGAGAAAATTTTGTTGTGTTTTAAGGTGTTGGTAGTAGAAAAACCAGAAAGTTGCAGCTATTGGAATGATGTGAACAGAAGCAAAAGTATACCGATGATAATTACCATATATTACATTTCCACATGCTCCCCAGCATTTTCAAATCTTGTTGTTGTTAAGCACGGCAGTGTGACTAGTCCTGGCTGATGTTTGGGCAGAAGTGGCACACTCTTCTAGTAGAAGCCTACAAGCAGGTTTCTTCTCCACTACTTCCCTTGTACTCTTTTCCCCTGACACAGTGAGCCTAAGAATTTCTATTATTGTGATGGTATCACGAGAGGACTAAACCTCTGTCATCCTGAGTCCTTAAACAAGAAGCAGACCTCTACTACCCCACCCAGCTTGATGACTAATTATCATGTAGAATAAACCTTGGTTTTGTTAAACCACCTTGACTTTGGGATTACTTTATTTCATTATTGTTACATATTAAATGCTTCTCTTTCTTCATTTCATCCTGAATACACATACAAGGTGTTCTGGGTCAGAGACAGGTTTCCTAGTACTAATTCCTCACAGTAAAGAAGTGCATTGGGCCCCCTTTGCCCAAGTCCTAACCCTTATGGCAGCATAGTAAAAGCCAGGTCAATTGACCTACATAAATGGCCAAGGAAAAATTATTTTTCCCTGCTTATAAAGAGGAAGGAGGCAGCTGTCACCTTTCCCTTCTAAAAGGATCTCTTGACTTCAACCCTTTGATAGGTAAATAAAATCTCTCCGGGAGCCAGATAGCCCATACATATCTCAACTTTTAAAACCTACCTACCTAGAGAGGTCTTCAGATTCTGGAGTTTCATCCTGTTTTGAAATGTGTTATGGTTTAGATGTTTTCCCCCTCCAAACTTCATGTTGAAATTTGATCCCCAATGTGGCACCTCTTAATGCCATCACAATAGCAATTAAATTTCAACATGAGTTTTGGAGGGGAAATTCAAAACATAGCAGAGGCCTTGTTACCTGGTGTCTAAGTGTCTATATGTCAATATGAATGCATCTAACAAGGGTCTCATACGTTCAAATGTGAGGGAGGCTCAAAGCAATAGTAAGTATTGAGAAAAAAGGGCTTCCTCAGAATAAATTCTGTACAAGTCATAGTTTCTATAAGAAGCTGGGGACTCCAACTCCTTCAAGTCTGACTCAATCTTGGTATAATAAAGTAATTTAACTACATGGACCTGGCCCAGAATGTGCCTTAGGGGGACAAACACCTCTCTGGGCTTGGCTTCTGCTGTCACCTTCATCGTACTTTTCTCTAGTGATGATTTCCAGCAGTTGTCATTCAAACTGACTGTAAATTAGACTTCGAATTTAAAAGACCCAAAGCAACTTCAAATTTTTCCCTTTAAAGGGTAAAGTAAAGCTCTTAAACTGAGGTTATGTTATTACTTAATTAAGAGAAATTAAATGAAGATCTAAATATCAGCTATAAAATCTTTCTTTTTGTTTTCTTGTTTTGTTTTGTTTTTGAGACGGAGTCTGGCTCTGTTGCCCAGGCTGGAGGGCAGTGGCACGATCTGGGCTGACTGCAAGCTCCACCTCCCGGGTTCAGGCCATTCTCCTGCCTCAGCCTCCCAAGTAGCTGGGACTACAGGTGCCTGCAACCACACCCGGCTAACTTTTTGTATTTTTGGTAGAGACGGGGTTTCACCATGTTAGCCAGGATGGTCTCGATCTCCTGACCTCGTGATCCGCCCACCTTGGCCTCCCAAAGTTCTAGGATTACAGGCGTGAGCCACCACGCCTGGCCAAAATCTTTCTGAATGTAAATTCTAATCCAGTTTTCAAGGGGAATCTGAGAGTCTCTTGAGGAACCAGGGCATCATGTTCTAAACATTTCTCCTTCTGTGGACAGAAAGCCTAACAGAACACAATATAAAATAACATGAACTTTATCCATGGCTTCAGTCTTTTTTTTTTTCTTCAATTTAGCTCATCAACACCAAGCCACAGGGGTCTGTCTTCAAAATCTTAACATAGCAGGGAGAGGAACATTTTATCTTCCTGATGAAAATAATAAAAATAATTCTTATCTCCCATAAAATTCCTATCCTCAAAAAGTTGGGGTAAATGGTGACTGTACTTTGTGCATATCGTTGTGGTATTTCACATGGTGTTTGGTTTTTTCTCACCTGTAATTTAGTTTGACATCTGGGAAGAAATATCTGAAGCATAACTAGTTATCATTTCCCACCTCTTAATAATAGTATAAAGTATTTGTAGGCATTGTGAATTTAATTCACATACAAACAATATGCTTATGGATGGTAAGCATATACTAATTTCCACATCAAAAATTAAAAAAAAAAAGAAGCTTTTTGCTGTGTAAGTCTTTTGACAGAGCCTCTTTTAATGGTTCATTTTTTTTTCTCATAATTATATTTCTGGCATAGGTTTGGCTCCAAACAAGAGCATTTATCTTAGCCTTGATAAGGATCCAGGTGCTAAATGATAACTTGAAAACTGAATAGAGGGAAAATTTAAATAATTTAGAAGGCAGACACATAGAGAAATAAGGGATATTTGGAAGGTGAAGACACGCAAATAAGAGAAACTGTTTACAAAATAATGTTGTAAACATCATTTAGGGGAATTATTGATTCTACAGCAACCTCTGCCTTCTTTCCCACCCAGTGTGAGAGAACCTATTGGGGAGATTAAGAGCTTATGTGGCATGAACCAGGCCTGAGTTCAAATCCCCTTGTGTCATTTAATAGGTACCATGTCCTTGAGCATATCTGGACACTCTCTTAGATACAGTTTGTTGTTATGTAAAAATAGAGAGAAGGATCCTTGACTTCTCTCATTCTCCTACTCCTTTAACAACCAATGTGCCAGGAAATTCTTGTCAGGAAATCCTATTAGCTCTACCTTCAAAATATCTAATGGCTAAATTTATGCATCAACTTGACTAGTCCATGTAGTGCCCAGATATTTGGTTAAACATGATTCCTGGGTATGTCTGTGAGGGTGTTTCTGGAAGAGATTAACATTTGAATCAGTAGACTAAGTAAAGCATATTTTCTCCCCAACATGAGTGGAACTCATCCAGCCTGCTGTAGGCCTGAATAGAATAATAGGCTACGATAGAATTCTTTCTTTCTGCCTGTTTTTGAGCTAAGATGTCACTCTTCTGCTTTTAGATTTGGACTTGAACTGAAACTTCACCATCAGCTTTCCTGGTTCTCAGGCCTTCAGACTTAGACTGGAATTATACCATCAGCTTGCCAACTTCAGATCTTGAAATTCTCAACTTCCATAATCACATGAGCCGATGCCTTATGGTCAGTCTCCCCATTCCTCTCCAGATAGATAGATAGATAGATAGATAGATAGATAGATAGATAGACAGATAGATAGATAGATGATAGATAGATGTAGATGTCTATCTCCTATCGGGTGTGTTTCTCTAGAGAACCCAGGCTAATACAAAATAAATCCATGTTGGTTCAAGAGCCCATTATCCTTTGTCTGAATACTGAATATGCTTCTCCTTTGTCTTCTGATTTCAATCTTGCTTCCTACTGTCTTGGGTTCTCAATGTAGCAGCCACAATGAACCTTTTAAAATTTAAGTTAGATTGCAAGTTTTAAGATCTGTCCTTCCTTTCCTCTAAAGTCTCCACTAATTCCCCTTCTCATTCAGAGTAAAAGACAAGGTCCTTACAAAGGCTTACAAGGCTCAACTTTATCCAGCCCCCAGTGACTTATCTCTTACTAGGCTGTATCTCATTGGTATACTCTAGCTACTCTGACTGTTTTACTATTCTTTAAGCCTGATAGACAAAACTCTGCCTTAGAAACACTCTTTTCTCAGATTTCTCAAGTTTTTGCTTAAATATTAACTTCTCAATAAAGCCTTCATTTCCACTGCAACCTCAACTGGGCACGGTGATGCATGCTAAGATCATGCCACTGCACTCCAGCCTGGGCAACAGAGCAAAACTCTCTCTCTCTCTCTCTCTCTCTCTTTCTCTCTCTCTCTCTCTCTCTCTATATATATATATATGTATATATACTTTGTATAACCAACCCTTTTCCGTATCTATGAGCTCAGATTCTTCACATGCCTTAAGACATGAATTCCAAAATATTGTTTCAGATACACTAGGCTTCCAGCCGCTGACCCCATTCCTCCCATTACCCTTTTTCAGCCTCTTTTCCAGTACTTACGGCATCTTAATTTGTACTCAATTTATGTGCATAAGCATCTATATTTTCCTGAGTTTCTGCACTCCTGAAAGATGGGGAATACGTACTTCTCTTAGTGTTTCTCTCAAAGGCCACTACAGTACCTTAAACATAGGAGTTAAATAGATATTGAGTGAAATGAATATATGTCTTTGTCAAACAACTCCTTGGGAAGAGCACATAGAGTTTCTGGACTGACAGTTACTGCATTGATGGAGTACTGACATCCTATGTACCTATGTAAATGGGGCTGCCTTCAACTTTAGAGATCAGCATTCATCTTATTAAATATTAAAATGAGCTCTCTGTAGAGTACTTTTTTTACTGTCATTTGATTAACTGCACTATAAAGTTATTTTATAATGTCAGAGAAAGTGCGAAGTATTCAAGACATCACAAGACTACCACAGGTCTTAGAATACAGAGGCATTTAGATTTTAAGACCAGAACTAAATTAACTATGGAAATAGAGTAGTGAAAGCACTTTTCACATTGGCTGGCCCCGTGAAGAATTTTCTACTCTCATTTCTTTTACTGAGTCACTATATAAAAATCCAGTGTTGTATTTTGCACATGTACACAATATAATAGAATTCCTAAAGAATCTAATGAAGTGCACAAGTGTAAGAAGCCCATTGCTGAAACAGGACAATTAGGGACAACAGGACACATGATTTTTCTGCATTTTATTTTCAAATATCTCTTAAACTGAATAATGTTCTAAACCTGATTGAACCTTCATATTCCCATTCTCAGATTACTTGTTTCTGGTTATTCTTCTCCACAGCTTCTCTTCTTCCCAGGTCATCAGGCAGGTAGTTGCAAATATAATATTGCTCTTGTCATTCATATGCTAAAAATTGTAAAGGGCTGTATCCCACCATCACTTCTAGACCTTAAGTTGTCACATAAACAACTCACCCATCCCACTCCCACCCAGGACCTTTCTTCTTTGCCACACACATGTCTACCAAGTCTCCTCGAGGGTACTCAATAAGCCAAGGACTTCTTCATACTTCACAAATCTTAGCTATTTTCTTATCTTGAACTGTGTTCATAATCTCCCCTTTGGTTGGCATGCTCGTCCATTGAATTCGCTTCCACAGACACTTAGCAAGTATTTACTGTTTCCCAGAAACTGTGTTAGGTAACAGACACAAAATGTAAATATGTCACAGTTGCCTTCAAGGATACTTCATCATTCTTTTAATCTTTATTTGTCAATTTTTTTCTTTTGTCTTTTCTTTAACACTACTTAAGATCCTCTGAGACAAAAAATTTTCACCTCACCTGATAATGCTTATTCTTTTACTCCATACATCTTTTTATTCCATATTCCACAATTTTTTAATTATACTATGTCATCTCTAATTTCTTAGGTCAGGTTTTCTCTGGGAAATGCTTTGACAGTGCTTGAACTGATATGAATATTCACATATTCTAAAATAACATCATTTAGTAGCATATACACAAAGCATCATCTCTATATTCTGAAACTTTTATATAATAAATATATATAATATGAATTTCTAGAAAAGACTACAATAACCTATGGTGAAAATCGTAACATTTATTGCTTCTGGAAGTTGGGGACAGGGATTGACTGGCAAAGGACATGAGAGAACTTTAAAGATTAAGGTAACGTTCTGTATTTTAATAGGCATTTGCATTATACAGATACATTTGTCTAAACTCATTGAACAATTATGATTTTGTGCATTTCGTTGTATGCACATTTTACCTTTCTCTGTCTTTGATTTGTATTTATTTCTTAGCTGTTATATACCTTTCTTCCAGTTCCTTTATTAAACTTTTAGGCAAATCTATCCTTAGGCATCTTACAATTTAAAAGATTACTGTGTTTTTCATGTATTTTTTCTCCCCGTTTGGTTGACTCTTGTTTCCCATCGCTTCCCCATTCTGTTCCTGTTCTAAATTTTTGAATTTCTAATTTATGGTGTTTTTTCTCCCCTAATATTTGCAAATGGTTGTTTGAGGTTAATTCAGATTAGGTTGTGTTAGGGATTTTTTCTGCTGCATGAATGGTATTTATTAGGGGCAGAATTTTCATCAGCTGAAATAAAATGTTAGGCTTCTAAATTTCTACTTTATTCTTATAATAACTTTATGTGACTGTCATCTGTCATATTTTTGCTTTGATTTTTTATGTGCTAATATAATTATTATTAACCTTTGAGAATTTGAGGAAGATAACTAGGTTTTTTTGTTCAAGGGTATTTCACTTGATATGGTGAAATATTATAGTTTCTTTAACCAATGTACTTGTTTGGTTGGGAAAAACTTGGTGTCTTCTGATTTTGTGACCCTCTTTTTGTTTTAACAGGAATATTCATTTCCCCCTTTTGCTTCCTTTTTCTTCTTTTACCTCTAAGGCACCAAGGGCGCAATCTTCTTGACACTTCTATTTACTTGGAAGTGGTGCCATTCTGAAACTCTTGCCTTGGGCTCCATTGATTTTCAAGTTCCTGTCTTTCAATTCCCCATCAGTCACCTACAAGAGCTCAAACTAACTCTCAGTATTTTCTTGCTCTGAGTGGCACTTGGTTTGAGCAATTTTATCTGTATTTTACCATCCCCATTCTCCCTACCCTACATCCCTCATCTATATTCCCATCTTGCCCTCATCTCTGCTTGTCTCCCATTGGGTGTAGGCTCTAGATACAATTTTGCTTGTCTCAAGTGTTTATTTTCCTATTGGTAGGTAATTTAAAATCTATTTCCTAGCTACATTAAAGGTATAGGTTATGAGTGAATTTTCTTTTCCTGACAATCAGCATGATTTTTTTTGGAGGATGTGAAGGGAGATTTAGATTTAAAATAAGTCCATTTTTTTCCTATGAAAACATGGAAATACTTAGAATTCCTTTTCTAAAATCCAGATAATTTACATTAAATCCCACAATGAAAAACATTGCAAGCCATAGTCTTGCTGTAAGTTCATTGTACTCTGCATCCAAAAGTAATGGATTTCAGAGCTGTGTAATTCAGAACTATTTCCCCAAAGCGCAGACTCTTAGTAAAAGGCAACATTTGGGAATTTCAGACCATCTGTTGTATAATTGGTAATGAAATAATGGTACCAAGATTAAGCAGAATTAGTTCTGCTATACTGAGTGTATACAACCCAATTAGTCAATTTTTGGTGTTGGTAAAATCCACAATTTCCCAAAACAGGTGTATATATATATATATGGGTGAAAGGAACTCTACGGGTGGTCCAGTAACTGAAAAGGGAAACTATGACCACTGAACCATCAGAAATTACCATCTGATGGGTTAAAAAAACAGTAAAATTCAGTAATTTCATATGGTTCAACTTAGTATATATTCTGTCTGGGGAAAATAAACAATCACTTTTAAACAATTGTTTTGGTAGCTAGTATGAAGGCTGGAGCGTGAATAAAGATTTCACACTAGGCAGTTTCATAGATGGTATAAAATCCCTCTCACAACATAATGAATGGGAAATTTTTTTGATAATACTAAGCTAATTAGGGTTAAGATAACCCTGATAAATTTATCAATATATGGGTACTTAACAATCACCTCCTGGTCCTCCTTAGAGAGGGATGCATCAAGTAGAGAACTTCCTAGACTGGTTTCTAATGCTTTTAAACTCGAAGATGCCATTAAATCTGATTAGTATTCTTCCATGCCTTCATCTATCTAAATATATTTGTTGAAAGCTTAATATTTACTAAGCATAGTGCTATGTTTTGGAATCCAGCAAAGAAAACACACAAAGCTTATTCTAAAAAATACAGACCCCTATTCAACCCATAATAATTATGCTATCCACCTTTTGTTAGAGCTGGGAAAATTTGGGGGGAGGAGTGAATTTTAGTAGGAATAATCTGCAAAATTCAAAGTTGAGATGACTGTACAGGAATGTAACACAAAGCTGTACTGTTTTACAGTGATACAGAGGTACTGAACAGGAAAGCACGAGGGCTCTGGCATGATGCTGTGTCCCTCTGGAAGAAGAGACTCACTTTCCAATTTTTACAAAAGTATACAATGGGTAAATAGAGTCCATGAAAATGAGAGATAAGGTGGAAATGGCTAGTAGGTAGTTGCTCAGAGCTGCATCTGAAAACCACTTTGAAAGCCCAAGATGACTTATCTCCATCATTCTGGCCCCTGTCCACACATGAAAAGTGCTGAAAAGAGATCTTACCACCTCTGAGTCAGGCTTTTGTGTGGTACCCACATTTGTAATTGTAGATACAATTCACTTTAATTGGGAAGAGTCCTTAAAAGATCATCTAGTTGACACAATTCTTTGACTGAAGAATCAGAGAAGTAGATAAGTGATACTTTTGAAGGACATATGAAGTGCTTAAGTATTCTGAAGGTAGGACAACTTTTACTGCAGTAACTAATGATCCCCAAACCCCAAATGCTTATAACAATGAAAATTTCTTGCTCACTCTATACATCTGACATGGGGCTACACTTACAGAGTCTTTCAGGAACCTAGGCTGATGGAGGCTATATCCCTGTAGCAGGAAGAAGGGAAGTTGGTGAAGGGTATACTGCCTTTTAGAGCTTTCATGTAGAGGTAATGCATGTAACTTCTCAGTTTTTTATTGTCAAAGCAAAGGGGTTAGATTTTGATCCTATGTGTACAGAAATAGAGCTGTCATATTTATGAAAAGCCTTAATGATTACTATACCAGGTTAAGGAAGGAAATGTGGGTACCACACAAATCAACTATACATTTTTTGAATTATATACTCAGTAAAAAATCATCACTGTATTAAGATATATGGAAAGTGGCTATCTTCCCTCTGGGTTATAACGTTACAATAGCTATGATAACAAAACACCATTTGATAATAGATGAAGTTTTTAAAAAGGTTTTGATGTAGGCAGAGTATAAATCATATAAAAGCTCATATTATTATTTTCTATTGAAAGGAGACAGAAAGAAAAAGCATAAACGGTATTTCTGCTCTATTCTATATAGCTTACTCTAAAGACCTATGCTGTGATCTTTATTTATTGGAAACACTAAAATGAAGGCTTATTACATTTTATGGCATTCCAGTCCATCTTTTTAGTATAGTATATAGAATAATTGCAGCAGGCAGTGTCTTTTGCATACCCAATAGCCACTTTCTCTTCCCTTTCTGGTAGAATCCTGACTTGTTTCAGTATCTCCTCTGCCCACGTAAGACTTGTGAGAAAATGCTAATTGATCAAATTTAATCATTGTCATGCTATTCCCTTGCCCGTGTTATATTCAGAAGTGAATTTATCACTTTTCTGGACAGTGACTAATGAGGGATAGTCTGAAGGAAAGCTTTCTTCACTTTGAAAAATAACAAAGACAGTAATTTTTCTTGCTGGGTATTGTCAAGTCTGTATGGGATAACTGGAACTGTAGCAGCCATCTTATGAGAATGAAAGAAATGGTTTAGAAAAAACAGGCTGAGGAACTTGGAGGGCCCTAAAATTCCTGAGCTCCATCTTTTGTTACACAAGATTAAAAAAAATAAAAAATTCCCCAGTTCTTTAAGCCAGTGCTTCTTAAAATGCTGGCTTGATATAAGATGAAGAGCTTTCCTGGAATGTATATCAACACACTTTCCTTCATTAAGGGTTTGTCTGCAAAGAAAAAGAGATATCAGATAGACTAAACAGTGGTGACATAGTTGAGTTACATTTTGGTGCAAATTTAAACTCATTTTTTTTCAACTGGATTATTTCAATACATTTATGTTTGGTGGGAGAACCAATTTCCAACTATCCAGGAAAAATTCATTTTTATTCATAAAGCATTGAAACATACATTTAGTGCGTAAGAGGCCTAGAATTTGTTTTTAGGTAATTTTTATTCTTGGCTTCAGATTATTGAAAGGATTAATAGAATAGAGTGTTAATGGATCACCAGCTAAATTATAGATGCAGGATACATGAATAAAGAAGGCTCTCTGGGCTCAGAAAGATCACAAGCTGGTATGAAAGGTAGATAAGGAAATCAGTAATTACAGTACCTGCTGAATTATAAGGCTGTTTACAGGGTGTTAGAGATTTATGTGGAGTGTGTTAAATCAGGAAGGGACTGGGTTTGGTGGCACATGCCTATAATCTCTCAAAGGAGGAGTAATTGCGGCCAGGAGTATGAGACCAGCCTGGGCAATACAGTGAGACTCAGTCTCCTCAAAAAATAAAAAGTACTAGCCAGGGATGGTGACAAGCCCCTGTAGCCACAACTACTCCAGATGCTGAGGCAGGAGGATCCCCTGGAGGGTGGCAGCCAGCTATGATTGTGCCACTGTACTCCAGCCTGGGTGACAAATCGAGACCCTATCTCTTAAAAAAATAAAATAAAAAGGGAAGGCTTTATAGAAAAGGTGGCACCTGAGCTAAATTAAGACTTGGAGGTGGTACATAAAACTGTGTGATATGGCTGGGATGAGGCTGAAACTATAGGGAAGTGACCATTGTCATGGTGAGGTGTCTTACAGTGAGTAAAATGATGACTTGCATTTTAGCACTATCATTCTGGCATCACTTTTGAAGACACAGTGTCTACAGCACAGACCAATCTATTAACTATTGCAGAATTGCTCTGGGATCAACTTTAACGACTTACACAATGCCCATTATACTTCCCCCATCTCGCTTGTTTCAATTAAGCACTCTACACTAAAAGCTTAAGAAAATTTGCCTCAATTTAGGTGTATTTTCTTTTTTTTTTTTTCTGTTTTCTTTTTTGAGACAGTCTTGCTCTGTCTGCCAGGCTGGAGTGCAGTGGTGTGACCTCGGGTCACTGCAACCTCTGCCTCCTGGGTTCAAGCAATTCTCCTGTCTCGGCCTCCTAAGTAGCTGGGATTGTAGGCGCCCACCACTACACCCAACTATTTTTTTGTATTTTTAGTAGAAATGGGGTTTCACCATGTTGGCCAGGCTGGTCTCGAACTTCTGACCTCGTGATTCACCCACCTCGGCCTCTGAGTGCTGGGATTACAGGTGTGAGCCACTGCGCTGGGCCTCTATTTTCATTTTTAATCTTCACAACTACACCAAATTAGATAAAAGGGAGGTACAGATTGTCGAAGACGAGGAATTTATCAACCCTGGCTTTGAATCCAGCCAAGACTTAGTTCTGAGCCCACATTCTTAACCTCTATGGTCTCTGCAGCAAAACCTAAGACATTTTGAATTACTTCCTTCATTGTGGCCATAACTTAATTACGGAAACAGTGATAGTGACTTCTCTTTAAAACAAATCCTGGATTCTAACCAAAATTCCTATTCCAGTATTCTAGTGAGTTAGGGAAGCATCTGCAAAAGGTACAAACTTTTTACTTGGTCCTGATTAGTTTCACATGGGCATTTGTGGGTTCATCCAGTGTAATTTTTTTTTTTTTCCCCGAGAATCTGGATTTTTATGGAGACCTCCTGGTTTTAAATATTGGCTTGAATTTTAAAAACCAGTTTAGGGAAATAGAAAACTGAACTACTGTTATGGTTAATTTTGTGTCAACTTGGCAAGGACACAGTGCTCAAATATTTGGATCAACAATCCTCTAGATATTTCTGTGAAGGTGTTTCTTGAATTATCATGAGTTTACCATTTAAGTCAGTGGACTTGGAGTAAAGCTGATCCTCCTTATGTGGCTAAGCTTCTTGAATTCGTTGAAGATCTTAATGAACAAAGACTGACCACAAGGAGGTCCTCCCGCAAGGAGGAATTCTGACAGCGACTGCCTTTGCCGAGTCTCCAGCCCGCGGGCATACCCATATTTTCAACCCAAGCCTCCAGAATCAGATGACAATTTTAATTTTTTCTATGTGCATCCTCTTGATCTGCTTGTCTAGAGAACCCTAACACAGAAACTAAGCAGTTATACACCCTCTACCACTTACAATAAACTTACGCACTTACAGCCAGCCTGCTGAAGGCTTTTTATGGGGATGGCACAATCTGTACTATTACAAGACAGGCAGAGGAGGTTTTTTTCTCACTCACATATATCCCTCAAATACTTTTCTAGCTAGACCTAGCTACCCATAACTGTTACTATTGATTCCTAATATATATTTGAACATCCTCTCCAAAAAATTCATATTCATTTAGGACTTGTGAGAAGTTTTTATATAACTTACTGGATCTCAAAAACAATCCAGTGAGGTAAGCCTTACCATAATTTCCAGGAAAACCAAAATCATCTAACGAACCTTAAACTCTTACTCTTGCTTCTACTTTGAGACGGAGTATCGCTCCATCACCCAGGCTGGAGTGCGATGGCATGTTCGCAGCCCAATGCAACCTCCGCCTCCCAGGTTCAAGTGATTCTCCTGCCTCAGCCTCCTGAGTAGCTGGTACTACAGGCACATGCCACCATTCCCAGCTAGTTTTTTTGTATTTTTAGTAGAGACGGGGTTTCACCATGTTGGCCAGGATGGTCTTGATCTCTTGACCTCGTGATCCGTGCGCCTTGGCCTCCCAAAGTGCTGGGATTACAGGCATGAGCCATCATGCCTGGCCGCTTCAACTTTTTCCAAAGATAAAAAACCTTTATGTTCCATACAAGGAACTCTCTCAATACAGGATACCTGATTTATCACTGAATAATCAAAAAACAATGACATACAAGTACAGGGGATATATGAGCAAAGTCATATAAATTAAGGTTGCACCATAATTAAGCAGTTGTCAGGTGACTGTTGAAGAGCCTAAAGTGAGGCAGTAGTCGAGAAACAAAAATATCAAAATGTTAAGTTTTTAGCAAATCAGTAGTTGTACAGAAGGGCCATATAAGAAATCTAATGATATAGTGGGGAGTGGCCTACACAGCTATTTTCTTCAATGAAGAGATATAGAACCACTCAGAACAATTTTTCAAAAATCCAGAAATACACTTTTATGGAAATACTGTTTTTTAAATGTTGATTTAAAAAGAGCATCACCCTTTCACCAAAGTCTAGAGGCCAAACAGACTACCAGTTTGGAGTGTTTTACAGCATTTTAACATCACTGGTATTCCAACAGTGAGCAGAGGAAAATACTCAGTAGCTAGTTACTGTCCCACATCTTACACAAAGTCCTAAAATGTAATGACCTCATTACATTTTAAATGGCAAGCAGCATTTCACTACTTACAAAATAAATTCGATTCACATATACAATTACTAATCAGAACTACCTTTTATCCCATTTCTGCTAGGCTATATGATAGTCAAAGCACCAGAATAAATTGGGAGTACTTCCTATACTACAAATTTCATGGTATTATATTCAATTTCAAATATTCTTTTATTCATTCTAAATAAGACCAATACTGGTCACCAAAACACTTACTGAGGCAAACACTTCTGTTTTAGGTTACAGACCTAGAGGAAAAAAAACAAAAATGAAGCTCCTAAATATCTGATTAACCACAACTTCAATTTGAATAAATTAAGTTTTCTTGATGATTAATCAATCATGGGAAAAAAAATTTACTATGTCAAAGGGCAAGAGCAAAAGTATTTTTTCCAAGTTAACGATAAAAAAAAAAATCATAGAAATAAACCTAAGATCGATTTGTATTTCCCTTTTATTATATAAATTACCAACAAAATCCTGACCTGGGAATCAAAAATTTAATATAACCTCAGTTTAACACCATTAAATAAGCTAAATCACAGAGAGTAATACTGGAATGTTACCCAAATAATAAAGTAGGCAAATGGCCAATTATTACATTCCCTATTTCAAAAAAGAGGCATTAAGCATTCACGTCATAAGTTTATTGACAAACATATCTAGTATGGCATATGAGTTCTAGTTTGATCCACTTCCAGAGGCTGCACCTCTTAAAATGCTCTTCATATCTGCAAAATAAAAACAGAAATTAATGGCATTTTAAAAATCCCATTCATTTAACAGAAATCATGTAGTTTCATGAAAATATTTTCTATCAGTTTGAGTAGTACATCAGAAAGCGTTTACAGTATCATGAATTCATTCATACTGATTTGCTTCATCACATGCACCGCAACCTTTCCGCATTAGTAGCTTGGATAAGTTATTCCCCCTCTAAACTATGACACTCTTTCCAATCATCCTAGTGTTCTATAGTATTACTCTGAGAAACTCTGATGACAATTAAGCTAAATATTTTATCCACACACAGCAAATCTGCTAACCTTCCAATATGAACGACTCCTTTGAGCATATATTAACATATCCCCTTGACACAAGGCTTCTCAACCTCAGCACCACTGGTAATTTTGCCCCCAAGTTGGAACGATCAAAAATGTCTCACATTGCCAAATGCCCCATTGTGTTGTAAAATCATCCTCATTTAAGAACCACTGCCTTAATGAGGAAAGTATATTTAAAAGTTTGAGTTTCCCAACATGGCTGAGTTGGTGAGGCACAGATTTACAATTGCATAATTATCTGGGACTTATGTATCAAGGAGCACTAGAAGGGTTTTATCTTCAGGGATTTTTCACAACTTAAACAAGTATTGTAAGCCAATTTAAAAACTAGGAGCACAGTGACCACTTTCTAAAAGAAATGGAAATGTTTATAGTGTTTTAAAAGACACATTCTCAGCTACTGTTCTAGTAACAGTGTTCAAGATAGAGTAACATTAATCAGTTTATCAGTTTTACCTGGTTAAAAGTGTGAGTTCTGCAACAAGAAACTGCCTGGGCAAGAGTCCTGGTCCACCATTATACTAGTTATGAGATGTTGAACAACTTAACATCTCTGTGTCTCAGATGGGGTTACTATCATCCGCCTCACAAGCTTGCTAGAGAACATGAGATATCGATGTAAAGTGTACCTGATAAGCAGTAGTATTCAATAAACACTGGCCATTATTGAAATATTTTTATATAGGTTTACAACTAGTCTCCACCAATGCCACATCTACACATAACCTCAGGAATCAGCCCTACACAACAATGTATTTGTGTGTGTGTTCTGGGTGATGGGGAAGAGGCTACTTAATAAAAAGGCCTGCTTTAACATGATTAGAAATCCACTAACTACCTGTTAAATGGAGGAACTGAAACATCCTTATGTTTTAAGCAGTTGGTGTCTTACTACAAGGAAGGGTGTAGCAAATGCAGATCCAAAGTACAAACACATCTTAGCTAGTAACGACCACTTGTTTTCCACTGAAAATGGCAAATTCTGTTGGAAAAAAAGAGAAAAAGTAATCGAAATTGAATCTCAAATCATCTGCTTAATAATCAAAATACAAGTATACAGGAAATGCTAGTTATATTTTACATCATCAGGTTAACATATGCCATAAATCATAACATCGTTTTAAACATTTATCTTTCAAATCCTATGACCTTCATCACAAAACACTACATGGCAAGAAATAATCTGGCTTTACTAAGCACTAGGCAATGAATGGTCTTGAGGACTCAAACGTCAAATAGTGAGAAGTTTCTTACTTTAGAAAATCGAAAAAACTACTGTCCTAAGTAGTCACCTTAGAAGATACATGGCAATGTTAAGTGCAATACAGCTCTTTTTTTTTCTTTTTTTTTTTTTTTGAGACGGAGTCCCGCTCTGTCCAGGCTGGAGTGCAGTGGCCCGATCTCGGCTCACTGCAACCTCCACCTCCCGGGTTCAAGCGATTCTCCTGCCTCAGCCTCCCGAGTAGCTGGGATTAGAGGCACACACCACCACGTCCGGCTAATTTTTTTGTACTTTTTAGTAGAGACAGGGTTTCGCCATGTTGGCCAGGCTGGTCTGGAACTCCTGACCTCAGGTGATCCGAACGCCTTAGCCTCCCGATTACAGGCGTGCGCCACCGCACCTGGCCCACAGTTTTTTTTGTTTGTTTGTTTTTCATTACCAAGCACCTTCTCTGGCCTTTATGACTAGGCCTCGTGTGACCCTCCGAGATTGTTACTGCTATGTGGTTTAAGTTATTTACACCTGAGGCCAAACCCAGCCTTAACTGAGGTGAAGGGTTAGTACTTCTAACTTAGGCAGCTAGTTTAAAAAGCCTGTTCCATAACCAGAGGCCCTGATTTCCTCATGATTTTCCAATGACCTTCATTTCGGGTCCGATGACCTCCAGCTCGGATTTAACCAACACACCTACAGCCGTGGCCTCCCGGAGCCATCTCAGGGCTTTCTGCGGGGCGGGGGAGGGGGCGTCAGGTGGCTGATGGAGGCAGGGCTTCCGGATCTACCTGCCCATTCCTTTAGCGGCTACGCGCTAGGATGCCCAGCTTCCTCACTGGTCCTTGGGCTAAGTGGAATGCTAGTCTGCGTCTCAGCCTGGTTTCTGGCTATCATCTCCCACGCCACAGCCCGGAGGCGGCCTTGCAGGTGCGCGAGTCACAGCCAAGCGCCCCCTCCCCCAACGAAGCCGTGCCCCTTACACACTAACCTTCCCAGGGCCCTCCTCATAGTGGCTCCTACGGACCACAGAGGTTGTGAACCTCCGGATGCTCTGGCCCAACATACCGCTGCTGGAAGCTCTGCGAAAGGCGCAGAGAATGAGGACAGATGAAATGGCGGCACCTCACCAAGACCTTTTTTTTCACGACCTTGTTCCCCGGTGCGCAAGGACTGAAAAGAAAGATGGGAAATGGGGCGGAGCCTTGAGGAAACGCGACAAAGCGGAAATCGCCCTGGATTGTGGGAATTGTAGTTCAGACCATTGCGGAGCCTTATCAGCCCCCGAAGGATTGTGGGAAATGTAGTTTCGCGCCAGGCTTAGGTCTAGGATTCCTGGGGCCTGTTACCGGAAACGATTTTATTGAATCAAGTGAAGCAGTTTCACCCCGTATACTCTAGTCTGTTGAAAAGGACAATAAACCCATCCCTTTTCTCTTCTTTCTTTCTTTTTTAAAAATAAAGTATATGCTAGGTGTCAATGATTTCGAGGACTTTTGCCAATGCTGAGAGATATGTGCTAATGATCCTAGCTGAAGAAACAAAGCATAAACACAAGTAATCAAACAACGTGCAGCACAAAGGACTTCAGAGAGAAAACTGAAATGCTAAGGGAATGATCACTAAAGATAATGGGAATCGAATAAAAAAGAAGGAAGAACAAAGGGCAGGGAAAACTCAAGTCTGGTATGAGTACAGCATGTGTGAGGAGTAGAAGGGAAAAGTGGCCTCTGACACCTGGAGCTAGCCTGGACTAGGAACTGGTGTCCGCCTGATGAACGTACACAATTTCAGCAAGCATTAGCATCCAACAAGACCACTCTGACAGTGTTCATTAAGAAAAGAATATGATCACTGTGTAATCACATCTGAACACAGATAAAACATTGTCCAAGCCACGAAAATGACCGGACATCACCCTATCTGGTTTAATTTGATGACTTCTGCTTCTTTACCAATTACAATCTTAGCCTTGATCTAGCCTTTCTTCCTCCTAAGATTTGGTAAGGTAGCCAATATTAGGAGAAAAAAATCCCAAATCCAATAAGCATTTTCTAATATTTTACAGAGAACCCTTACTGCAATGAATAATAAACCCCGTTTGTCAATTACATGTGTGCTTCTGGTGGTCTTTGACCAGAAGGTATTGAGAAGAAACCAGTGATAAATGAACCTGGGAAAGTGGTGTTAGGTTAGATTGTGAAAGGCCCTGGTAACCTAAATGTTATGTTATTCATCTGTGGGGGAGTGTATATTGCCTCACGTGTCTCATTTATATAGCATTAGGAAACAATTCCAATAAGACCTAAGGTTTGCTTTGAAAAGGGCATAACATATATGCTCTTTTCGTCTTTTTTTTTTTTTTTTTTTTCAGTTTTTGGAAGAGAACAACCATGCCCCTCCCCCCCAAAAAAACACTTAAAAAAAACACTTAAATTCATATTTTGTTTCAACAAGTAGCTTCTTTTTGAGTAGGGGTTCATGAAATGCATCATAACTGGTGTCCTCTACCACCTAATTTATAGAAGTTATGTGACATTCCATTTTTTTTTAACATTCCGTTCACTGCCTTTACATATTAAAGAATTCTGATTTAACTATAATTGAGAAACTTTTTCACACTTAATATTTCTAGATTACACTTTTCAATCTAGTGTGAGTAATGTTATCTGTGGATTTGGTTCATTGTTGCTTCTAATTCACATTAATTGAGCCTCCATTGGGTATCTGGCTTTGAGTTAACTCTTTAGGGACCTGCAGGGCAGAGATTCCAGAATATGGTTTCAGAACTGTCTGCCTTCTCATGGGCTTTGTGGTAAGTTAAATACAAAAAAAAAAAATATGTTTGGCCGGGCGCGGTGGCTCACGCCTGTAATCCCAGCACTTTGGGAGGCCAAGGCAGGCGGATCACGAGGTCAGGAGATTGAGACCATCCTGGCTAACACGGTGAAACCCCGTCTCTACTAAAAATACAAAAAATTAGCCGGGCGTGGTGTCGGGCGCCTGTAGTCCCAGCTACTTGGGAGGCGGGGGCAGGAGAATGGTGTGAACCCGGGAGGCAGAGCGTGCAGTGAGCCGAGATCACACCACTGCACTCCAGCCTGGGCGACAGAGCGAGACTCCATCTCAAAAAAAAAAAAAAAAAAAGTTTATACCTATGTAAATATGGGGGAGGGTGGTGGTTACACTCAAGTGCCGGGCATGTGAGTGAAGCTATCTTGGACACTTCAGCCCAGCCCCGCCCTCAGCTGAATATTGCTGAGTGACCACAGTCACTGCTGTGTGGAGCAGAGTTGTCTAGTTGACTCCTACCCAAAATGTTGTTCTAGAGATTTGTGTGGTATAATAAAATGGTTGTTTTTTCAAGTCATTAAGTTTGGGGTAGTTTTTTATGGAGCAACAAAGAGAGAACTAGAAGTAACACAGCTGTTCTATTTAAGGAAATTAGCCTTTCTTCTAGATGCCATGAGGAAAACAGTTTCTCATTACCAATCTGTAGATGAGAATTTGGCTGTATCATGTAAAATATTATCTTTGCTTCAAATATATCTTTCTCTGGAGTCATGTTTCTGTGATAGTTCTTCAGCTATAATGAAGATGGATGTGCCAAACATGCCAAAACATTGAAAGTATGGGAGGTAGAGTGGTTCCATTTGAAGGTGGTGTAGCAGCTGGCATATTCTAGAGAATGCTAGACACTCAGAAATGCACTTTGCAGCTTTTTGATGCTACTGATAAGTTAGGAGGTAAATTGAAGTGGGATTCAAAGTGGCTGAGATCACTCATTCTTGGCAGATTACTGACTTTTGTATTAGTGGCTAGATACCACCTATAGAGCACACTCTTGAGAATTATTTCAAAATATTTTCTAAAGAATATTTTTGTCAATAAGCCACACTGAGCACAAAATAAAATTTTATACTAGTTGCTATATGGTTTTTTCTTAATTACTAAGTAGAAAGCAATTAATAAATTAGTTAACTAATGAATGTAGTCTGAGTTTAGGAGTTTTATGCTAATTTTGGTCTCTTTCAAATTCACTAAAGAAGGAAGAAAAAGTTTAAATAAATCTAGCAATATTCCATTTTTGTGTAGGCATCGTAGGAAATTAAAGATGGCCACAATTTTTTGGAAATTCTTTCTATTGAGTGGTGGGGTCTAACATCCCTTTTCTTGACCTTAGTGACCGGATTGACCAATAGAATGCAACAGAGTGACATTCTGAGACTTCTGAGGCTAGCTCATCAAAAGCCTTGCAGCTTCTCTTTAGCAACTTGGAATGTTTTCTTGGGAGAAGTCAAATACCATGTGAGAAGTCTAACTATCCAGAGACTTTCAGGACTAAGAGGAAAACCAAACTAACTATATGGAGAAGCCACATTACCAGGGGCAGGGGTTGGGGGTAGGCTATGTGCAGAAGGGGAGAGGGAAGAAGAGGGAAGAAGGACAAGGAGAAGGAGAGGGTAAGTAGGGAGAGGGAGACAGGGAAAGGGACAGACTTACCAGCACCCAGCTATTCTTGCCATCCCAGCCCAGGCATCAGATATATTTGTAAAGGTGCCTTCAGGTGACTTTAGCCACAGCTATATTTGCCTGCAACTTTATGAAGCTTGTTAAACAAGAACTGCCCAACTGAGCCCATTAGCCCCCAGAATTGTAAGAGAAAATAGTAAATTGTTTCCTTGAGTCACTAAGTTTTGGGGTAGTTTGTTATACGGGAGTATAAACCTGGAACAGATATGTTTTATTTTTTCTTATACAAGTAGCCTAACAATTTATATTCATGTCATAATAGCTGGCAAGAAAAATGTGAATAATTCTAGAGCAACTTTGGATTCAGTATGATACTCTTTCACTATAAAGTGCATTTAAAGAGAAATGAGACATTTCATGAATTGATGGGTACAAAATAGAAAGTGTCTTTAGAGACATGAGGTTTACTTCAGCATTATATCTTAAAAATAAAATCCAATTATTTTAAGTAGTGAGTAGGGTGTATATCAAAGAATGAGCAATGTACTTTCTAGATCCACTTGAGGCTTTAGAGACTGAAATTCCGTTATATAAAACAGTATATCCAAAAACTAAAGTACAATATTTGTCATTTTCTCAATATTGTATAGAACAGTATATCCAAAAATTAAAGTACAATATTTGTCATTTTTCTCAACAGCTGCTATGTTAGATTTTTAAGGACTAGGTTGAAGTTTTTTTTAAAAAATAAATTGTTTAGTGAATAAATTACATGTTTCCATCCTATGTTGCAAAACTCAAGTTAACAAGTTTCTTTTTAAGTTTTTATAACTTCTCGCTACTGTAGCATTAGAATCAGGGCTCTGTGTTAACATCTATTTGAAATTTTATGTTTGTTGGGGAAAGGGTTGAGGGGGAGCCTGGCTTCAGGAAAAGGAGAAAATGAGATTCTTCTGAAGAAATTAGGGTTGTGAAATATTCTGTGAGTCTTCTGAATGATTTATTGATGACTCACTGAAAGAGAAAGTTTTGCAAAAATCCTTACTTACTGATCAAAAAACTATAATATATGTTTAACTCTTTATATTGTTTCTTCTTTATAAAATGCCCTCGCTTCCTTCCTCTTTTTCCTATTGTTGACTTCAAAATTCTACATCCATGTCACTTTCTCTAAGAAGCCTTCCTAAAACCCTTAAAAGAAATCAATTTATCTTTCCTTCAAGGTCACCTAGAATTTAATTTATAATACTCTTATGTTAGTAATATCATGCATTGTAATTAGTTATGTATGTATCTATCTCCTTACCATATGCTTTTTTTTTTTAAAAAAAAGGACAGTGTTTTGTCATTTTATCCTCTCATATAGTAAGTACTCAATAAATTTTTGTTTCATGAATAGATGGATAAATAATGTATTCAATACAAAGTGGTTCAGTGTTTCTTCAACAAAGTGGTCCCTGGTGCAAAACACATATTTTTTCAGTGGTTCAGTGTGTTCTTAATTCTACTTAAACTTTTAAAATTCATTAATAAAAACTAACACCCAGTTCTTACCATAGCCTTTACATATAAGATCTCATTTAATCTTCATAATAATAGAAAGTGGTTCAGTGTTTCTTCAACAAAGTGGTCCCTGGTGCAAAATACATATTTTTTCAGTGGCTCACTGTGTCCTTAATTCTACTTAAACTTTTAATATTCATTAATAAAAACTAACATCCAGTTCTTACCATAGACTTTACATATAAGATCTCATTTAATCTTCATAATAATCCTATGAAGGAGCTATTACTATTGTTATCATTACTATTTTATGGAAGAAGCAATTGAGGCTAATGAGTCTAAATAACTTGCTTTGAGCATCAACAGCTAATAAGTAGCAAAACTGGAAGTTAAACCAAGGTTTATCTGATTTCAAAGTTTCTGCTCCTAATCATTGCATACCGTGGTCTAAATGAATTGCTTGGAAGACGGGTTGCTCATAGCCTAAGGGAAGGCAGGTGAGAGTTCAGTTTATACATGATTATATATGGATTCAATTGTGTGTGTGTGTGCATGTGTGTGTGAGATATGGTTTCACTCTGTCCCCACCCAAATGTCATCTTGAATTGTAATCCCCATAATCCCCATATGTTGTGGGAGGGACCTGGTGGGAGGTCATTGAATCATGGGGGTGGTTTCCCCCATGCTATTCTCCTGATAGTGAGTGAGTTCTCATGAGATCCGATGGTTTTATAAGCATCTGGCATTTCCTCTGCTTGCACTTCTCCTTCCTGCTGCCTTGTGAAGAAGGTGCCTTGCTTCTCCTTTGCCTTCCACCATGATTGTAAGTTTCCTGAGGCCTCCTCAGCCATGCTGAACTATGAGTCAATGAAACATCTTTTCTTTAGAAATTATCCAGTCTCAGGTATGTCTTTATTAGCAGCATGAGAACACACTAATACAGTGTATGTAGGCTCTTCATGACTTAAAGCTTCATCTTCTGCTGCCTTACGCTGAACAGATCTCTCAGATTGCAGAGAGAATTAGAGTTGGACTGTTCTTCAGGTTCCAGAGACAGCATGGCTGGGTGGTAGAATGGCAGGGCAGACTGCCAGGTCTTGTGATCGTTGACTAACACCAGGGCTCTGAACTTGTGCTTCTAACACATCTAAATTGTCTTCTAGGAGACTTGAAGTCATTGGTTTTGCAAACATTAATCAAATCCACCTTTGGAAATATTTTCCTCAGAAAAGTTAAATCTGCCAGGGCTTGAGATTGCAATGGGATAATTGCATGCTGGCTGCCTCATTCTTATCCTCTCTCAGCTACTTAGCTGGCCTGGGGTTGAATCTCTTTGGCAGGGGGATACTAGACCCTACCACATTTATGGTGCTTTTCTACTACTAGAAGGGAGTGAGAAATGCCTGGATTATCCTTTTGTTATTATTTCTACTTAAAAATTTAGAAGGAGGGAATTCTCCCTAACTCATTCTACGAAGCCAGTATCACCATGATACCAAAGCTAAACAAGGACACAACAAAATAAGAAAACCACACACCAATATCCCTGATGATCATAGATGCGACAATCCTCAAAAACATACTAGCAAATGGAATTCAATAGAACATCAAAAAATACAGCAAGATTAAGTGGAATTTATTCCAGAAATTCAAAGATGGTTCAACATATGCAAATCAATAAATGTGATTTACCACATAAACAGAATTAAAAATAAAAACCACATGATCATCTCAATGCAGAAAAAGCATCTGATAAAATTCAGTATCTCTTCAGGATAAAAACCTTTAACAAATTAGGAATACAAGGACCATACCTCAAAATAATAAAAACCATATATGACAAACCCACAGGTAACATCATAATGAATGAAGAAAAGCTGAAAACATTCTTTCTAAGGTCTGGAAGAAGACAAGAATGCCCCCTTTCACCACTCTTATTCAACACAGAACTAGCAGTCCTAGCCAGAGCAATCAGAAAAGAGAGAAATGAAAGGCATTCAAATTGGAAAATAAGAAATCAAATTATCTCTGTTTTCTGATGATATAATGTTATACCTAGAAAACCCTAAAAAGATTCCTATACTTGATAAATGAATTCAGTAAAGTTTTAGGATACAAAATCAGCATATAAAAATCAGCAGTGTCTCATACACACCAATAATGATCAAGCCAAGAAGCCAAGAAGTAAATCAAGAACTGAATCCCATTTACAATAGCTCTAAGAAGAATAGAATACATAGGAATATATTTAATTAAGAAAGTTTCAAATAAAATTATGAAACACTGAAGAAAGACATTGTAGTCAACACAAAAAAGTGGAAACACATCCCATGCTCATGGATCAGAAGAATTCATATTATTAAAATGACCATACTGCCCAAAGCAATATACAGATTCAATGCAGTCCCTGTCAAACTAGCAACATAATTTTTCACAGAATTAGAAAACACAATCCTAAATTTCATAGGTAACCAAAAGGGAGCCTGAATGGCCTAAGCAATCCTAAGCAAAAAGAACAAAGTTGAAGGTGTCATATTTTCTGACTTCAAATTATACTACAAGCCTATAGTAACCAAAACAGCATGGTGCTTGGATAAAAATAGATAGATCAATGGAATAGAATAGAGAACCCAGAAATGAAGCCACATAACTACAGACAACTGATCTTCAACAAAGTCAACAAAAACATACACCAGGGAAATCAAACCCTATTCAATAAATGGTGCTGGGAAAATTGGATATCTATATGCGGAAGAATGAAACTGGACCCATATCTCTTATCATATACAAAAATTAACTAAAAAATAGGTTAAAGACTTAAAAGACCCCAACTATGAAAATACTAGAAGAAAATTTTGGAAAAACTCTTCTGCACATTGGCCTTGGCAAAGAATTCATGACTAAGAATTCAAAAGCACAAGAAACAAATCTAAAATAAGACAAATGGGACTTAATTAAACTAAAAAGCTTCAGCACTGCGATGAATAATAATCAATAGAGTGAACAGACAACTTGCAAACTGGGAGAAAATATTTGCAAACAATGCGTCCCTTAGGAGCCTGAGATCCAAAAGTTACAAAGAACTCAAACAACTCAACAAGACAAAACTCCCAAAACTCATCAAAAGTGGGCAAAGGACATAAATAGGCATTTTTTTTTCAAAAGAAGACATACAAATAACCAACAAGCACATGAAAAAATGGTCATTACTAATCATCAGATAAATGCAAATTAAAACCACAGTGGGATATTACCTTACACCAGTCAGAATTGTTGTTATTAAAAAAGTCAAACAACAACAGATATTAGTGAGGATGCAGAGAAAAGGAACGCTTATGCACTGTTGGTGGAAATGTAAATTAGTACAACTTCTATGAAAAACATTATGGAGGTTTCTCAAAGAACTAAAAGTAGAACTGCCATTTGATCCAGGAATCCCACGACTGAATATCTAACGAAAGGAAAGTAAATCATGATTTCAGAAAGATACCTGTGCTCATATGTTTATCGCAGCACTATTCACAATAGCAAAGATGAGGGAATCAATCTAAGTGTCCATTAGTGGGTGATTGGATAATGAAAATGTGTCTATATATATATATATATACATATGAATATATATGTATATTCATATGTATATATGAATGAATGCTTTAGGAATACTACTTATTTATTTTAAAAGAATAAAATCGTATCCTTTGCAGCAACATCAGTGGAATTAGAGGCCATTATCTTAAGTGAAATAACTCAGAAACAGAAAGTCAAATGCCACATGTTTTCACTTATAAGTGGGAGTTAAGTAATATATACACATGGACATAGATTGTGGAATAATAGACATTGGAAACTTAAAAACATACATGTGGGAAGTGGGTAAAGGATGAAAAATTACTTAATGTGTGTAATGTACACTATTCAGGTGATGGTTACACTAAACTCAGACTTCACCACTATGCAATATAACCATGTATCAAAACTGCACTTAT
Source organism: Homo sapiens (assembly GCF_000001405.40). Taxonomy (NCBI): domain Eukaryota; kingdom Metazoa; phylum Chordata; class Mammalia; order Primates; family Hominidae; genus Homo; species Homo sapiens. Next base: position 86,609,159 of record NC_000005.10, on the reverse strand, counting down.
GCTCCCTAAATTTATACAAAAAAATTTTTATTTAAAAATATTTGTGCGTTAGGTCGTTTTTGCTCTGCTATAAAGAAATACCTGAAACTGGGTAATTTATAAAGAAAAGAGACTTAATTGGCTTACAGTTCTGTAGGCTGTACAGGAAACATGGCACCAGCATCTGCTTCTTGTAAGGGCCTCAGGGAGCTTATAATTATGGCAGAAGGCAAAGGGAGAGTAGGCCCATCACATGACAAAAATGAGAGAAAGAGAGAGAAAGGGTAGGTGCCAGACTTTTCTAAAAATACAGATCTTGTGTGAACTAACTGAGCAAGAACTGACATCCCTAAGGGGATAGTGCTAAACCATTCATGAGGGATCAGCCCATATCATCCAATCACCTCTCATTAGGCCCCACCTCCAACACTGAGAACCATATGTCAACATGAGATTTAGAGGAGACAAACATTCACACTATATTGATTTGGAAATAATTTAATATATTTAGAATATATATAAAATGTATAAAATATACTTATTTTTATATATGAACTTATAAATATTAACTTATACTTAATGGAAATGTATAGATATTTAAATATAATAATAAAATTTAATTATTTTAAAATATTAGGAAATAATTTCAAACTTGCACAAATAAAGTTGCTTAAATAAAATTAGTACAAGAAACATTTATATATTCTTTAGCTAGATTTGCCTATTTAAAAAACTTTATTTTATTTTCTTTAACATTTGTACTTTTTCTTTCTCTATACCTATTTTTTTTTCTGAGTGGTTTGAGCCTAACTTACATTGTACCACTTGACCCCTAAGTACTTCTGTTTGTATTTCCTAAGAATAGGGCTATTCTCTTATATAACTACAGTGCAGTATCAACCTGATGAATTTATACTGATATAATATTTTTATCTATGCATATTCCAGTTTTGTTAGCAGATCTACTAATAATGTCTAGAGACAAATACTGCATTTAGCCATTATATCTCTTTATCTCCTTAGTCTTCTATAAGCTGGAGCATTTTTGATATGATTTTGCTCCGTGTCCCCACCCAAATCTCATCTTGAATTGTAATCCTCATGTTTTGAGGGAGGGACCTGTAATCCCCACATGTCGAGGGAGGGAGGTGACTGGATTATGGGGACCATTTCCTTCATGTTGTTCTCGTGATAGTGAGTGAGTTCTCATGAGATCTGATAGCTTTATAAGTGTTTGACAGTTCCTCCTTCACCCGCTCTTCTCTCTCTCACCTGCCGCCATGTAAGATGTGTCTGCTTCCCCTTATGCCATTACTTTAAGTTTCCAGAGGCCTCCCTAGCCATGTGTAACTGTGAGTCAATTAAATCTTTTTTCTTTATAAATGACCCAGTCTTGGGCAGTTCTTTATAGCAGTGTGAAAACAGACTAATACAATTTCCATAGCCTTTATTTGTCTCTTAAGAAACTAACATGTCTGAGTAATACAGCCCGTCTCTACATTTTGAAAAACACAGAACATTCCTCATTTTGTGTTTGTCCAGCGTTTCCTTAGGAGTAGACTGAGACTATGTGTTCTTGGGCAAATGCTGCATAGGTGATCTCGTGTCATTTTAGGGCATCACATGCAGAGGCACAGTATGTCCATCTGTTCCTCATTGGTGACATTAATGTTCACAATGTAGTCAAGATGTTGTTTGACTTTTCCACTGTGCAATTACTGTTTCTCTCTTGCAACTAATAAGTACCCCACGGGAAGACATGTTAAGACCATGCTAATATCTTACTCCTCACAAAAATTTCCTTTGGATATAGGCTCCACTGATTATTATTTCCTGATTATTACCATAATAGTTGTGAAATAATGATTTTCCAACTCCAGTACTCCTTCCATATTTACTAACTGTCCTTTTACATTCAACTATATGAAAAAGACCTTCTTCCTACTCTATATATTTACTTAATCTATTTATTATTGGTAAACACTAATGAATTTTTAAGTGGTTTATAATTCAATACTCTACTTAAATATTTTAGTGCTTACAGTGTTCCAGATTTGGTAGCCCCTTCAAGCTTCCATCTGTGTTTGTTATGTGTCCTCATCATTTTTTATTTTTTAATATTTCTTATTTTATTTCATAACAAGATATTCCTGGCCTATTTATACCTACCTTATGTCAGTCCTGGGAACCAGAATCTCTATGAAGAATGCTCATTGGTTTTTGTTAGTGGTAAATGGTAATAAAGATCAAGGGCTGGGTGTTTTGCATGTTCACTGCTACTAGGATGCCTTTGCTTCCTAGAAGTTATGTATGTACACATAACATATACGTGTACATAAACATGAAAATGCAGATGCATATACACATTTTAGAAATCATATCTGGCCAGGCGCGGTGGCTCATGCCTGTTATCTCAGCACTTTGGGAGGCCAAGGCGGACGGATCACGAGGTCAAGAGATAGAGACCATCCTGGCCAACATGGTGAAACCCGTCTCTACTGAAAATACAAAAATTAGATGGGTGTGGTGGCACGCGCCTGTAGTCCCAGCTACTTGGGAGACTGAGGCAGGAGAATCGCTTTAACCCAGGAGGCAGAGGTTGCAGTGAGCTGAGATCGTGCCACTGCACTCCAGCCTGGCAACAGAGCAAGACTCTGTCTCAAAAAAAAAAACCAAAAAAAACAAAAAAGGAAAAATAAAAAAGAAAAAGAAATCACATCTTTCATCAATACCTCAATTTTTAATCCATCCCCACAGGGCTCTTTCTTGCTTTCCCCTGCTCCAAGTCTGATCTATCTTGCTAGGAGAAATAATGGATCTTCTTTATAGTCTCTCCATAGAAAATGATATTGCAAAATTGTCACATGAAGGGGTGATCAAAAGGTATGCAACAAAAAACTATAGGAAACTGTCTTATAGAAATGTATCAGGCAATTAATGATTAAAATATTATTTTACTTTTGTGTGTTTGTCCTTCACATGGAAGCAGCAAGGAGAAGTGCAGAGTGAAAGGGGGTAAAACCCCTTATAAAGCCATCAGATCTCATGAGAACTCACTATGACGAGAACAGCATGGAGGTAACCACCCCCGCTTCACTTCAACACCTAATGTTTTATTTTTAATGCTTTGTGGTTTTTATCTAAAAAGTGCCTCCTTATGATCCACCTCTGCTTGTCACCTAGCACAACTGCATAAATTAATGTCCAAGGAGACAGAAATTGTCAGAGAATGAAGTATGTTCAATTATACGATACATTTTAAAAATGTTATTTTTTCCCCAAGTGTTTCAAAATATATATGCTACAGGATGGCTTTATTCAACAGTCTCGGCTCCAAAATAACTTCTGGGTATTTCCAAATATCAAATCCACTCCAAGGAGATTTGACAAGACTTAGTTTGTACCAAGAGAGTATGAGAAGGTGAAATGATTTAGAATATCAGAAGCTAAACCAAACAACAGACAAAAAACAAAGTGAAAAAACGTCTCGTTACCTTTGGATACCATTTTTTCCCTTAAAAGTGTTTCGTGTTTTTCATTCCAACTTATTTGTCTTACCTTAATTTAGGTTTAAAAATGGTTCACTTTTCTTGAATCATCTCATAATACAACCATTTGTCATTGAGAATTACCAAGTATGGGTAGATACATATTTATAAGATAAACACAGAAACTAATATTTCTCAATTTGAAAATCACCAAGTCTCGTTATATTTATATTCCATCTCCATTTTAGCTTAACTTGCTGTGACACTTTGTTACTGCTTTGACCAGGTCTTGTTAAATTGCTACAGTAGGGCGGGGTGTGGCGGCTCACGCCTGTAATCCCAGCACTTTGTGAGACCAAGGTGGGTGGATCATGAGGTCAGGAGTTCAAGACCAGCCTGGCCAAGATGGTGGAACCCCATCTCTACTAAAAATACAGGCAGGATGCGGTGGCTCACGCCTGTAATCCCAGCACTTTGGGAGGCGGAGGCGGGCGGATCACGAGGTCAGGAGATCGGGACCATCCTGGCTAACATGGTGAAACCCAGTCTCTACTAAAAACAAAACAAAAAAAATACAAGAAATTAGCCAGGTGTGGTGGCACACGCCTGTAGTCCCAGTTACTGGGGAGACTGAGGCAGGAGAATTGCTTGAACCCGGGAGGTGGAGGTTGGAGTGAGCCGAGATCTCACGCCACTGCACTCCAGCCTGGGCGACAGAGTGAGACTCTTAAAAAAAAGAAAAAAGAAATTACTATGGTATCTCGTGCTTTGTTTTATAACTAGAATACCAAATGATTAAGTAGCTTCATTTATTCTTTTTAGGGAAACATAATTTAAATGATGAAGGGTTTTTTATAATAAATTTGATGCATTGTTCTAAAAAGAAAGACTTTTTCCAGAGTAGGAGCAAAATAAATATAGGAGAGATTTGAGAGTAGAACTAACGTTCTTGTATTCTATATGTTGAATATAAACAATTGTGCAAGTAACTCCCTGAAAATCATGATTTATAACCAGGTCCAATACTATTGATCAATGTATGTAAGCTGCTGCTGTATTTCTATTATTCGGGTGAGACTACAGAGAGGCACTCTGATCCTCTAAACAATGTGTTTGTTGGCAACTACATTGTTAAAATAGTGATACGGTTTGGCTGTGTCCCCATGCAAATCTCATCTTGAACTGTAGTTCCCATAATCCCCACGTGTTGTGGGAGGGACCCTGTGGGAGGTAACTGAATCATTGGGGTGGTTACCTCCACGCTGTTCTCGTGATAGTGAGTTCTCATGAGATCGGATGGTTTTATAAGGGGTTTTACCCCCCCCCTTCACTCTGCACTTCTCCTTGCTGCTGCCATGTGAAGAAGGATGTGTTTGCTTCTCTTTCTGCCATGATTGTAAGTTTCCTGTGGCCTCCCCAGCCCTACGGAACTGTGAGTCAATTAAACCTCTTTCCTTTATAAATTACACAGTCTTGGGTATGTTCTTATAGCAGTGTGAGAATGAACTAATACATATAGTCCATCAAAAGGTATTTGTGTTATAACAGTTTCTGTGTTTGGCTTTTCAGTTTGGACTTATAATTTTGAAAAAATGGAATTTACTTGATAATAACATCTGTGCCCTTTGTGTAAATTATGACTGCATTCAACAAAGAGTTGTTTTAAACATGTCAGCTAATTATAAAACTATTACACAAAGTGGGTTAGGTTTAATTACCAGTTCTCTTCACATCCCTCATTGAACAGCATTCGAAAACTGTATTATTATCCCTGAATTGTGCTTGGCCATCTTCTTTCCTACTTGTGCTAAGGGATTTTTATAAATAACAGACTTATAAAACTCATTTATGGATTTACTGTGAGGATTTTTTTCCTAAGGATGTGGTTCAATACACTTCACAGTGTCATTTTTATGAGGACCCATAGGAAAAATTTCTCTCTGGTCTTAGACTAGAATAAACAGGCTTCTTCCGAGTAGCTGACTTGCTTTTTTGCCTGTTTGCCTATGGGTACTGTTAATAATGAACTTCACTGTGATTTCCTCTTTAGGTTCCTAGAAAACTTAGAGCCAAATATGCGATCCATCTTCAGTAGAAACGATGAATGTATTTTGTGTACCCTACTCCTGGCTGTATCTTCTTTTCTAAATTCACCTTTGCTTCACTTTACTTCTCAATTTAAAATCTATTTTATCTTGTTATATAGTGTGTGTCTTTCTTTGGCACGTCAAATGTTTTCTGGAATAATATTAACATGTAAATCAACTAATAAATCATAAATCATAAATTTCCTCACATAGAAAGTTGTTGCAGTGTAATTTATCAAGTTTTCTCTTCTATGCTTTATGGAGCCTGGGCCAGACAACATAATTGAAGCTAGCTAATGTAACATACAATCCCCAAATTTAGTGGCTTAACACAATTTATTTCTCACTCATGTCATAATCTGAATCAGATGTTAAGCATGTGATCTTCCACGTGATAATTTAAGTGCCATCATCTTCTAGGGTCTCTTTGGAGTCCTCTACTCGATTCACACACTACTACCTAGAAGACAGGGGTCTGAGAAATATGGGATTTCTGTGTGCTTGAGAGGAAATTGGAAATAGCTTGGTTTAAGACATACTGTTTTCTTCAGAGACTTTCTAATTTCTTGCTGGAGTATTATGGAGTGACTCCACAGGAATTTAATATCCGGTGGTTAAATATAATCTTGGGGCTTTGTTACAGTGGCTGAAAAATCCTCATAATTCTACTGTGGTTTTCTTGCTCCTACACATTTCCCCAGAGTTGCACACTCCAAGGAACACACTATAACCTGGAATCAGACTGACATGGGTTCAATCCAAGATCTACCATATTTAGCTTTGGGCTAGTTGCATAACATTTCCCTATCTTTCAAGTGGGGACAATAATGTTACCCACTTTATGGACTTGTTATGAGGGTTAATTGAAATATTTGATGCTTTAGAGTGTTCTATTAGTAAATGTCCCTATAATAATCCCCTTTGGAGGTATCCTCCTCCATGCCACTTTTTAATTAATTTTCTCTTTTTGCTTCATTGTCTAGATTGGCCAATGAAGTAGGTAGGTCCAAAATATTTTTTAAAAAGCTGATTCATTATTAGAATGTAATCTCTCAGAGGGCCAGGGGTTAGGTTTTTATCTGATTACTGATGTATCTATCGTAAGTACCCTGCATAAAGACAATCAATGACCGTTCACTGAAAACAATGAATGATGTGGCAATTTGAATTTACATTAAATACTATGTTTTAAGTGTGAAATTGTTACTTTTTTTCTTTTATTACGACACAATATTTTACATATGTATGGAGTACGTGTGAGTAATTTTTACATACATAGAAGGTATAATGAGAAGGTTGGAGTATTTGGGTGATCTATAAGCTTAAGTATTCATCATTTCTACGTGTTGGTAACACTTCAAGTCCTTTCTTCCACTATTTTGAAATGTAGAATATATTATTGCTAACTATAGTCATCCTAGTCAACTACTGAATGTTAGAATTTTTTCCTTCTATCTAACTGTGAGTACCATTTCACCAACTTCTCTTCATTTCCCTCTCCCGCCCTCACATCCTCCGATGCCTCTATTATCTACCATTCTATTCTCTATGTCCTTCAGATTAAGTTTCTTAGTTCCCGCAGATGAGGGGGAGCATGAGGTATTTGTCTTTCTGTGCCTGTGTTATTTCACTTAACGTAATGACTGCCAGTTCCATCTGTGTTGCTGCAAATGATGCGATTTCATTTTTTATGGCTGAATACTATTCCTTTGTGTTTACATGTCACATTTTCTTTATCCATTCATCTGATGTGACACTTAGTGCTGATGGACACTTAGGTTGACTCTTTGCTACTGTTAATAGTGCTGTGATAAACGTGTGAGTTCAGGTATCCCTTTGATATATTGATTTCTTTTCCTTTGGATAAATACCCAATAGTAGGATTGCTGGATTGTATGACAGTTCTATTTTTAGCTTTCTGAGAGCTCTCCATACTGTTTTCCATAAAAGTGGTACTAATTTACGTTTGCACCAATAGTATGTAAGAGTTCCCTTTTCTCCACATTCTTACAGGCATCTGTTATTTTTGTCTTTTTATAATAGTTATTCTAACAGGTGTGAGGTGATATCTCATTGTGGTTTTGATTTTCATTTCCCTGATAATTAGTGGTAATGAGCATTTTTTTCGTTTACCTGTTTGTCACTGATATTTCTGTCTTTTGAGAATTGTCTATCCATGTGCTTTGCCCACTTTTTAATGGGATTTTTTAAAAACATTGTTTTGAGTTCCTTATAAATTCTAGATATTAGTCCCTTGTTAGATGAATAGTTTGCAAATCTTTCCTCCAAGTCAACAGATTGTCTCTTTACTCTTGTTCCTTTTGCTGTGCAAAAGATTTCTAGTTTAATAGAAGCCCAATTGTCTATTTTTGTTTCAGTTGTCTGTGCTTTTGAGGTCTCAGCCATAAAATATTTGCCTAGACCTATGTCTTGAACTGTTTTCTCTATGTTTTCGTCTAGTAGTTTTATAGTTTTGGGTCTTTTGTTTAAGTCTTTAATCCATCTTGAGTTGATTTTTGTATACAGTGAGAAATAGGAATCCAGTTTCATTCTTCTGCATATGAATATTCAATTTTCTAGCACCATTTATTGAATAGGGTGTCCTTTCCCCAGTGTATGTTCTTGGCATCTTTGTTGGATATCAGTTGGCTATAAATATGTGAATTTATTTCTGTGATCTCTATTCTGTTCCATTGGTCTATCTGTCTATTTTTATACTGATACCATACTGTCTTGGTTGCTATAGGCTTGTAATATAATTTGAAGTCAGGTAGTGTGATGCTTCCAGCTTTGATCTTTTTGCTTGGAATTGCTTTGGCTACTCTGGCTCTTTTTTGGTTTTATGCAAATTTTAGAGTTGATTTTTCAATTTCTGTGAAAAATGATGTTGGTATTTTGATGGGAATTGTATTGAATCTGTGTATTGCACTGGGGATTATGGTCATTTTAACAATATTAATCCTTCTGATCTATGATCATGGGATGTGTTTCCATTTGTTTGTGTCATCTACAATTTCTTTCATCAGTGTTTTGTAATTTTCCTTGTAGAGATCTTCTACCTCTTTGGTTAAATTTATTCCTAAGTATTTTATTTTTAACAGTTATTATAAATGGGATTTTCTTCTTGATTTCTTTTTTAGCCATTTCTTTATTGGCATGTAGAAACAAGACCGATTTTTGTAGGTTGATTTTGTATCCTGCAACTTCACTGAATTTGTTTATCAGCTCCAAAGTGTTTTCTGGTGGAGTCTTTTGAGTTTTCTAAGTAAAATACATGTTATTTGCAAAGAGGGACAACTCAACTTCCATTTTTCCCAACTTAGATGCCTTTCTTTCTTTCTCTGGCCTGATTGGAATGGCTAGAACTTCCAGTACTATATTGAATAAGAGTGGTGAAAGTTGACATACTTGTCTTGCTCAAGTTCTTATAGAAAAGGCTTTCTACTTTTGCCCATTCAGTGTGATATTAGCTGTGGGTTTGTCATACATGGACTCTATTATTTTGAGACATGTTCCATCTATGCCTAGTCTGTTGAAAGTTTTTATCTAAAGGGATGTTAATTCTATTAAATGATTTTCTGCATTTATTGAGAATATCCCATGATTTTGTCCTTTGTTCTGTTGATATGATGTATCACGTTTATTGATTTGTGTATGTTAAACCATCCTTGTATCTCCGGTATAAATCCCACTTGATCATGGGATATTATCTTTTTGATGCACTGTTGGATTTGATTTGCCAGTATTTTGTGGAGGATTTTCTATCTATATTCATCAGGGATATTGGCCTATAGTTCTCTTTTTATTGTTGTTGTGTCCTCTTCTGGTTTTGGTATAAGGGTAATGCTGGTTGTGTAAATGAGATAGTGAGAATTCTCTCCTATTCAATTTTTTTGGAATTGTTTAAGGAGGATTGGTGTTAGTTCTCCTATATACTTGGTAGAATTTGGCAGTGAATCTGTGGGGTCCTGGGCTTTCCTTTGTTGGGGGACTTTTCATTACTGCTCCACTCTTGCTGCTCATTATTGGTCTGTTTGGATTTTCTATTTATTCCTGATTCAATCTTTGTAGGTTTTATGTTTTCAAGAGTTTATCCTAAAGAAGAAAGGTTTAATTGGTTTATGGTTCAGCAGGCTGTACAGGAAGCACAATGCTGGTAACTACTTGACCTCTGTAGAGGCCTCAGGAAACTTACAATCATAGCAGAAGGCAAAGGAGGAGCACACATGTCACATAGCCAGAGCAGGTGCAAGAGATGGCGGGGAGGAGCCACACACTTTTAAACAACTAGATCTTGTGAGAACTCACTCATTATCACGAGGATGGAATCAAGAGGATGGTGCTAAATCATTCATGAGAAATCCACCCCCATGATCTAATCATCTCCCACCAGGCCCCATCTCCAATACTGGGGATTAGAATTCAACATGAGATTTGGACATAAGCAAACTACATCAGAAATCTTTGTACGTTTTTGATGTAGGCATTTATTGCTACAAACTACTTTTGCTGTGTCCCATAGATTTTAATAAGCCGTGTTTCCATTTTCATTTCTCTCAAGAGATTTTTTGATTTCCACGCTAATTTCTTCATTGAACCATGATTATTCATAAGCATGTTTTTTTTTTTTAATTTCCATGTGTTTGTATGATTTCCAAAGTTCCTGTTGGTATTGATTTCCAGTTTTATTCCCTTGTAGTCTGAGAAGACACTTGATATAATTTTGATTTTTAAAAACTTAATGAGACTTGTTTTGTGGCCTAACATATAGTCTGTCCTGGAGAATGTTCCATGTACTGATGAGAATAATGTATATTCTGCAGTTGTTGGACACTATGGCTTTCATTCTGGGCACCTGAAGTAGTGTAGTCTCTCTATAATTTATTCAGCTGTAAATAGCATCAGTGATATTTGTAATTTTCATGGTGGCTTATGGTGCAGTTATTAATGGTGACTGTGATGAAGGTTTGCTGGCAACTGGGATGTCAGCTAGGTTAGTCTTTGAGCTACAGTGGTGGCAGTGTGAGCTTCCTTCATGGAGCAGTGCGCTTGCACAATCTCTTGGCATCTCCCTGTATTCGTTTCAGGGCCCATGAGGGCTGAGGAGCTCTCCAGTGCCTAGGATTGCAGGAGTTCATGGTTGGAATATGAACCACTCAGCGCCTCTTACTTACCCTTTCCCCATATTAGGGAGTCTCTCTTGGCTTCCAGCTGTTCCTGGCCAAGCAGGCTGCCTGACTTTCTTTTCCTTCTTTACTTTAGGTATTTCCGGTCACCTTTCTATTGAATTCCAGTGTTTTCTTTGAGATGATCTATTCCAAGTGTGATTTTCTACCCACTATTTTGGCTCTTCTTAGTGGAAGCCATCTTGAAGCCTTCCCCACTTAGTTTTTAAAATTAACTTTATCGAGGTATAATTTACATGCAATAAAACATACACGTATTTTCAGTACACCAGTCAATGAATTTGACAACTCTATATAACTACTAACCCACACCACAATTAAGATACAGAACATTTCAGTAACCCAATGTTTATTTTTTGCAATATATTATAAAGGATATATATATATCCTTTTTTATATCATATATATATATATAAACAAAAACATTTTCTTATTATGCTTTAAGTTCTCGGATACATGTGCATAACATGCAGGTTTGTTGCCTAGGTATATATGTGCCGTGGTGGTTTGCTGTACCCGTCAACCCATCATTTACATGAGGTATTTCTCCTAATGCTATCCCTCTCCTAGCCCCCCACCTCCCAACAGGCCCCAGTGTGTGATGTTCCCCTCCCTGTGTCCAGGTGTTCTCATTGTTCAACTCCCACTATGAGTGAGAACATGCAGTGTTTGGTTTTCTTTTCCTGTGTTAGTTTGCTGAGAATGATGATTTCCAGCTTCATCCATGTCCCTGCAAAGGACATGAACTCATCCTTTCTTTATGGCTGTATAGTATTCCATGGTGTATATGTGCCACATTTTCTTCATCCAGTCTATCACTGATGGGCATTTGGGTTGGTTCCAAGTCTTTGCTATCGTCAACAGTGCTGCAATAAACATACATGAACATGTGTTTTTATAGTAGAATGATTTATAATCCTTTGGGTTTATACCCAGTAATGAAATTGCTGGGTCTAATGGTATTTCTGATTCTAAATTTTTGAGAACTTGCCACAACTGTCTTCTACAATGGTTGAACTAATTTCCATTGCCACCAGCAGTGTAAAAGTGTTTCTGTTTCTCCACATCCTCTCCAACATCTGTTGTTTCCTGACTTTTTAATGATCGTCATTCTAACTGGTGTGAGATGGTGTCTCATTGTGGTTTTGATTTGCATTTCTCTAATGAGCAGTGATGATGTGCTTTTTTTTCATATCTTTGTTGGCCACATAAATGTCTTCTTTTGAGAAATGTCTGTTCATATCCTTTGCCCACTTTTTGATGGGGTGTTTTTTTTCTTGCAAATATTAATTGCCATGAGTACCTTAGCCCTTGGTGACTGACTGTCCTCAAGGGCTGAACTGCACTCAGCCCTGTAAAAATGAGGCTCTACCTCAGGAACTGCACTGCTGACATTCTGCTTCAGGTAGTTCTTTGTTGAGGGGAATGTTCTGTGCATTACATAATATTTAGCTTCATCCCTGGCATCTATTCACTAAATGCCAGTAACTTCACCTCCCTCCTCTTACCCTGTGACAACCAAATATGTCTCCAGACATTGCCAAACATCCTCTCTGGTGGCAGAATCCCTCTGGGCTGAAAACTATTGTCCTATAGTCATCTATTTAGGGCAATGTGAGTCAACAGAATATGTGCCTAGTCTGAGTTGCTGTGCCTCACCTGACTCAGCAAGGTAAGGCCCTATTTCCTTGGGATCCTGCAATCCTCTGGCTTAGTGCCCACTCCATTCTCTGGCATCAGTGTATGCCATCCACTTCCTGGAGTGATGAACATTTATAGCTTCTATTGATCCACCCCACTGTTCCATACTGGGTCCAGGGCAGATGGGATGTAGTATTAAAGCTTGCTCTTGTTTTATTCCTGTCTTGTGAATGTGTGCTCTCAGATACCCACTCATTTAGAAGGTAATGAACCTATCCTTACATCTACCTTCAGAAATAGACAATTAGTTTGTAATTAAGTGAACACATGTGCTTATCACTGTATCTGGCAAGTAGTAATGCTCAATATATAGCAGTGTTTATTTGTTCCATACCATTGTTTTTCTGTGCTGCTATTTTTTCTGTGCTGGGATCAGTTTGTGTTAAGATGATCTTACCTTCTTCCTGTTTAGTGCACTGTCTTTATTTGTGTCATTTGCTTTTATATTAAGGCCATATGACCCAAGGATACTTCTCAAACTACTCATGCCACCAGGGCACCTGACCACTTGGGTCACCAATAACAAATTTCTCAGATTTTGTTGTGTGTTATTTTTTAATTTTTAATTTTTTCTTTTCTTTAAATCAGCTCCTTAGGGAACCCCGTTATCATTTGTATGATGCAAAGAAACTGCTTTCCTGACTAAGTCCCACTAGGAAGACAATCTTCTGAAGGAAAAGAAAAAGAAAGACATTCTAAGACATTCTGTCTCTGACAGATTCCTAGTTTTCTTACTATCATTGCCTAGAAGAACTATGGAGTTCTGTGATAGTATCTTGTATACATTTTGACTAACAAAGATAAACAGAGTATTTGATTAAAGACATCTTTAAGTTCATTTAAGGTAAATAATTTAAATATAATAATAGAAACTTAAGATGTGAGAGAATATCTCACTCACCGGATGAAAAAACCAGAATACTGTTCATTTACTGTGTAGAGAGGAACTTAAATCATGTAGAAAAATTTGAGTGTGGAGGACTACTAAAGAAGTATAGATTATTATTATATTTTTGTTAGTTTATTATATTTTATATTCTATATTATACTCTGTATTACTGATTCTGCATAATTTTTTTGGTATTTTTAATCTGTATGATTATTATAAACTCGAGCAAATTTATTGAAATGGTTATTGAAAAAAACCTTAATTTTATATTCTTGTAGCATAGCATCAGCATAAACTTGGCTTTTGAAACTCCAGGAGTGTGAGATACAAAATCCCTATTGCTCAAACACAGCAGGTTTTTAGTGTCTTTTCAGAAACTCAAAAGCTGAAGTTTTTTTCCTTTCTCTTTGCATTTCCTTCTTTTTCTTTTCTTGTCTTGTCTCTTCTTTTTTTTTTTTTTTTTCCCAGACAGGGTCTTGCTCTGTTTCCCAGGCTGGAGTGCAGTGGTGTGACCTCAGCTTACTGCAATCTCCACCTCCTAGGTTCAAGTGATTCTCCTCCTTCAGCATCCTGGGTAGCTGGGATTACAAGTGCCGCCACATGCCCAGCTGATTTTTGTACTTTTAGTAGAGACAGAGTTTCACCATATTGGCCAGGCTGGTCTCAAACTCCTGATCTCATGTGATCCACCCTCCTCAGCCTCCCAAAGTGCTGGGATTACAGGCATGAGCCACCATGCCTAGCCTCTCTTTCCATTTCTGCTGTAGAAATCCCATTGTGAAGGAAGAAAATTATGGAGAAGGTAGAGCTAATGGCCATTTATGGTTTAAAAAAATAGGTAATGAATGTAAAGTTATTTTCCCAGGATATAGGCTTTTACCATCTGAAGTAAAATCACTGATTTGAGTTATAGACCCTCTGAGAGCAGTCTTCAGTATATGTTGAGGAAGTAGACATACCTGACTTCAGGGAGATAAAAAAATCCAACAACTTTTCCTGTCATTCCCAAGAGGAAAGTAAAACCTTTGATTTTAAAATTAGAGATAAAGGCTTAGATACATATTAAGAAAAGAAGTAAGAATTTGACTTAAATTTACAATGCAACAGGCAACATTATATAGGGAAGGTGGGCGGGATTGATACCTGGAAGGGGTAAGCGATTAGGGAAGGAGTGGTTAGAGCCATATGCAAGATGAAAAAACATACTATTTGTTGACCTGTATAATTTTGTTTAGGACAAGATTGGTCCCTCCCTCCCTCCCTTCCTTCCTTCCTTCCTTCCTTCCTTCCTTCCTTCCTTCCTCCCTTCCTTCCTCCCTTCCTCTTTCTTTTTCTCTCTCTTTCATATTTTTTTTCATATAAGCAATGGGAATTTATTGGCACATGTAAATATCCACAGTGAAAACCATCTTAAAACTTTAGAGAAGTTGGAATTCCAAAGGAAAAAAAAAAGACAGAAACAAGTGTAAAAGATTAAGGATGCCAAATCTCACTACATCAGGAAAATAAGATGATAGATACCAAAATCTGAAAACATAAAGACCAATGAAGTCTGACAAGGTGATTTGATAATTTTAGTAACAGGGGAAAAAAGTTATCATTTTTTTTCCCTCTTAGGTACCAAATTGGCCATCTTTTTACCGAAGATGATGCCTCCATCTTCTGTACTTAACCTGACTTTTGTCAATGATGCTGTTACTGGAGAATTTCAATGATAATCTCTCCCAGGAATGTCACAATGACACCACAAACTCAGCCTGCATGAAAGTGAATTTATTACCTTGGTGAAACTCCATCCCCCCCCCAGAAACCTATCCTTCTAATTTTCCTTTTCGTTGATGCCATTCCCATTTCCTGGTTGCCCCAGCCCACAATCTGAGAGTTGTGTTTGCCTTTTTTCTCTACCTTTTCTAGGCACTCAGAACTTTGTGGGTTAGAGTGAAGATGAAAATCGAGATTGATAAAGAAAAAAACAACATAGAGTGTTTCAATCATTAGAAAGATAAAGAGCCTAGCCATGACGCTGAATACTCTTTTCTTCACCTTGTTCATGCAGAGCTGCCCATTGTTGCAGTGGTGAGGATTTTAAGTGGATATCTCAGAGCAAACAATAGCTGTTTATTTCTATTTTAGTTTACAGGAAGGATCAAAAGAAAGTATTCCTCCTGCATTGCATGAAGAAAGTCAGGAACTTTACACTTGATTTTCTAGCTTCTGATTTCAAGGTCACACCCTGTGTATCAAAACACGACTTACCTTAAACCAAACGCTCAGGTAGAAAAAATGTTGCCTTTGGATCTTTCAGCCTCTGAACTCTACTCTGGTTTCTACAATTCAGACACTTCTTTTCTGAACACCCCTCTCCAGGATTCCAAGAAAAATACACTCTCTTTTTCTTTGGGAAAAAATAAGGCTTTTATGAAATCTAAAATTAATACATTTTAAATCTATAAACAGTTGACGTCATATAAGGGTGTTGTTATCTGAAGTCTTTCCAACTTGATAGTAATTAAGACCTCAGCAAAAGAAATGAAACTTCTACAGATAATTTCAGATGACATGAAGAGGAAAAGCGTTCTTCATATCTGTTTTAGTTTAATCAGGAAAGGCTACTTTGGACAAAATTTAAAACATTCATGTGGTTTCTGGACCATGTAAGTGTTATAAAGTTACGGAAGCTTTTAGATAATGGGTTTTTTTCCTTGGCATGGGTACAACTATATAACTTACATATTATAGTTTAGATTTATAAGTTTTTAGGTGTTAGAAATTAGCATATTAAATAACAATGTTGAAAAACCCAACAGTTTCAATTTCTCCATAATGGATAGAAAGGTGTATTAAACTTGAAAATACAAGAAAACATGATATATTTTAAGTTTTAACACAGTTTTATTGTTTCTGGCAATATTAAATCATCTAAGCACTGGTTATGGTATAGAAGGTGACTTTAAGCAGATAATAGGATATTCTTAAAATATCAAAAAGTGACTAAAGTGAAATAAGACTTAGGTCAAATCTTTTTCCGGTGAAATATACAGAAAATGAAAACTAAAAAATAGATTTTGGCACAGGCCTTAATATTCCACTTCATTTTGTGTCTGTAAAAATAAGCATATTATGAATTTTAAAAACTTGTTATTTAAAAAATAATCAACAGACATTAAATCTAAATATTTATTTTGAAGGAGAAAGTGATGAATCAAAATAGTTAATTTTTGTTTAATAGGATGTAATATTTTAGGTACTTATTAGTGATGAGCTAATTTTAAAGTGGAAGTATATAGAAGGTTTCCAGCTTTATCTAAAATTTCTTAATAGGCTGGGCACAGTGGCTTACACCTGTAATCCCAGTACTTTGGGAGGCTGGGGCCGGTGGATCACCTGATGTCAGGAGTTTGAGACCAGCCTGGCCAACATGGTGAAAACCCATCTCTACTAAAAAAAAAAAAAATACAAAAATTAGCTGGGCGTGATGGCGGGCGCTTGTAATCCCAGCTACTCGGGAGGCTGAGGCAGGAGAATTGCTTGAACCCGGAACGCGGAGGTTTCAGTGAGCTGAGATTGTGCCATTGCATTCCAGCCTGGGTGACAAGAGTGAAACTTCATCTCAAAAAAACAAAAACAAAAACAAAAAATCTAAAAAAGCTTCTTAATAATTGATAGATTTTCTTTGAATAACCATGGGCCTAAGAACCAACATTACAGTTTCTAAATTCATCGGATTTCAGTTGATGAGATAAAAGATAATGTTGCTTAAACTTGTTCCCTCTTTTTCAGATTTTATTTGTAATATCTGCAATGTGTGTTGTGTCCTAGCAAATAGGATAAGCAGAAAAGTGATTCAGTGTTAAAACACAAAAAAAATGGAGTATAGAATTTCATTATTTTATCTAGGGTAATTTTTTTTAACAAAAAGATATTTCCTTAATTATGAAGTAACTTTTTAAATACAATGACAGAATGGATTAATTAAAATATAAAGGGACTGAAGAAAAATCTCCAAAATTGTATAACCTTAAAAAAATTGATCCCGTTTTATTATAAAATGTGTGCCGATTTTCAGCACCACAGTGAAAGAAGAGAACTAATTGCAGTGTTTCTTTCAAGTTTATTCTTTTGCAGCCAGAGGGTAGAAGAGAATGTTTTGGAAGATGCTCAACATTTAATTACCTAAATTCTGATTTTTCCTAATGAATGTCAATACTTTCAACCAATTGAATTCAAATGCTTAGTTTATACTATGTAGTACACAGAACATGTCAGAACTAATACAAAATGTAAATGAAAGAAGGAAAATGGCTAATATTTCCTTAGCATTCTCTTTCTCTTTTACCAGCACTTTAAAAAAATGCCCAGTCTGCTATGTCTGTGGATATTCTTGCCTATGTATGCATAAATAGTACTAGAAATCATGAAGAATGATGGATGTTTTTATAGGATTTTAATTATAACTGTGTGTAACTTTGAACTATAAAACAATTTAGTGAGATTAAGCAAAAAATTAACTATAGTAGGGAAGCAGAATTTTGTAGCAGGAGCATGTTCTACATGTTAGCAACTCAGATTTCAGTTTTTCTTGCTGATGATTAAATTCTGTTTTCTAAGGATAAGTCACAGATGCAAAGACACAAGCTACAGCCAAAAGCAGCCTTCAGACTTGTGAAGCCACTGATTTACCTAGCCCAGGAATCTCTCTCTGTTAACAATACCCAGTCATTTTTGTGGAGTACATGAATATGGTTCTTAAGGATCAGGGGCTGTATGAATTTCATTATGTAAAACATATTCAAAAATACATCTTACTTCCATGAGCATAGTGGTATGGTTGTTTATGTCACTAAATTTGGGGTGGTCTTTTATGCATCAATAGATAACTAGAACAGAATTTGGTACCTGGAAGTTGGGTGCTGATATTGTTTTGGTGATCAGGCAGTGAGTAGGCAGGACCTGCAGGCCTTGAGGAGGCTATTAGTGAGGGTACAAAAGAAAGTCAAGATAATGCTATAGAAAACTGGAGGAAAAGATGTACTTATTATATAGTGAGAGAAAATTTGGTAATGCTGTTTCTTGCGGTAATGTGGAAATTATAAATGCATATAAACACTTGATTAGCTGGGAAGATTTCTGGGCAGATTATTGGATGTATTTTCAGTTTTTTCCTAGCTTCTAAAAATAAAATGTGAGAGAAGAAAAGTAAACAATTTTTTTTTCAATTTCAAGCAAAATTTAGAGAAACTGTAAGGAGCTCAGATAATTTTTTCAGCCAGCAAATGCTCCCCAAATACGAAAAGGCTTTAAGGCAAGGATCAAATCCAGGGAGTTAGGGTAACTGTAAATACAAGAAGTCTTAGGGTAAAGGTGAAGACAAGAGCATGATTACCATCTTCTTTAGACTCCAGAATAATTAAAGGAGTATCTGCTAGACTTTTTTTATTAGATAAAAGGACTTCTAAAAGAAACATAAAGACTGTACTACAGCTATACAGGAGGATGAAGGTAGGGAAAAGTCTTCACACTAATTACCCACACATATCTATTTTCTTCTAAGGCTTATTGCTTAAGCTACTTGGCTTATCCATCTGGATGTCCAATAGGAATCTCCAACTCGTGACCAAGTACAACTTACTTCTTCCCTATTTCCAAAATCATTATTTTTTCTTGAACTTTCAGATTAAAAAGAAATTAGGCATCCCTATTGACTTACTCTTCCTCACATTTATTAGTCAGCAACCTTTGTCAACTCAGTATTTTCCTTCCTTCCTTTATCTATCATAGCCTCTCATGTCTGGGCTATTTCAATAGACTCTTAACGAGATTTTTGAGCCTTAGACTGAACTCCCTTGAATCCATCAATTCTAGAACAAAAGTCAAATCACATTACTTCTCTGCTTAAGCATCTTCAGTCATTTTGTATAGTTTTATTCAGGGTGATTACAAGATTTATAATTCAAATTCTTGAGAATGAAAGGAGGACTTATTAATAATTTGGTAGCACAGCAGGAACAAATCAAGCATCTAAGACAAACTTGTGCATGTGGTCAACTTATAGAATACTGTCTTAGTTTCTTAAACATACAGAAGATTCAATATCATAGGCATTGTTTTAGTGTAGATTCCCTAAAAGCAGAGTATATGGTGGGGATTCTTATGTAAGTTTTTATCGAGGGAATACTTTCAGGAAAAACATCTGAGGAATGGAGGCAAGCAGGACAGGGAAGGAAAGAAGCTTAACAGAGATGTGCTCTCAGTCTAGCCTCAGCCTGATCCCATAAGGAACTTGGCGTAAAAATAGCACCAGAGTTATCCAACTTTGAGACACTTGTCAGGTTGAGGAAATTCTTCTGAGAAGGATACAGCTGTAAGCTGTTCACAGCCAATGGCTAATGTGTGTATTAGAGTCCTAGGGCTACCATAACAAAATACCATACATGTATGTGGCTTACAACAACAGAAATTTATTGTCTCACAGTTATGGAGGCTAAAAGTCCAAAATAAGTGTATCATTAGGGCCATGTTCCCTTTGGAACTAGTAAGGGAGAATTCTTTCTTGCCAGTTCTGGCCTCTGGTGTTTGCTAGTAATTCTTGGTGGTCATTGGTTTGCAGCTGCAACACTTCAATACCTGCCGCTGTTGTCACATAGTTGTCTTCTTGCGTGTGTTTCTATTGTCACATGGCATTTCCCTTATCGGTGTCCAAATTTCTTTATTGTTACAGGGACATTGGTCATATTGGATTTGAGTTTGCCCTAATAGATTCATCTTGATTTGATTACATCTTCAAAGACTTTATTTCCATATAAAGTCATATTTATAGATACCTGGGGTAGGACCCCAACATACCTTTTTGGGAGGTGCAATTCAACCCATAACAATGGGGCATAAGAAAATAAGGGCTTCTGCCCAGGGCACCAATAGTATAGACTACAAGTATCTTTCCAACTTGATATTTTCCTCATGAGTTTGGACTTTAGATATACTGAACTATTGACATACTGAAAAAATTCTGAAGTTGCAATTTTCATGTAGTTGCATACTCTTCTTGCTTGAACTCTCTCCTTGGCCCCTCCGCTTGGGGAAAGTCTCTTCATTCCAGAAGCGTTTGGTTATTAATTCTTTCAATAACTTTTAATGCACATTATGTGGCACAATGCTAGATATTAGATATGGTGCTAAGTTATTAGGAATATAGGCCTTGGCCTTAAAGTAGGTTACAGTCTAGGAGGTGAGACAAAATATTAATATAAATAATTATAACAAAGTTCAATAAATGATAATATATTCACAGTATGCTATGGTCATTGAGAAGAAGAGCACCAAACTCAAGCAATGGCTGGAATGTAAGGGGTGACACGAGTCAGGAAGATTTTGACACCAAAGATTAAGATTTAGAATATAAAAAAAGTAGTTTCAGGTAAGTCCTTTAATAAAGCACCTGATTTTAACTCTACAAATTTTCTCTACTAGTTATTTAACTGTTTTGTTAACTCATTCATTAAATGATTCACTCATTAAATCTGACATTTTTTCTGAGTAAGGCAATGAGTTAAGTTCTGTTAGACATATGTCAGAACTGTTTTAAAACAAACATTAAGTACAGGCAATAGAATAAAACATATTTACCTTCTTTAAAGTTAATGTAGCAACTTCTTATTTTGAACTGTTGATCAAGCTATAGTTATTTATAATTGATTAGTTTCCTAGAAAAAAACTGTCAATCTGCAATTTGTACATCTCAAAGCAGTCCTTAAATATTCTAAAGGTAGTTTTCCTAAACAGCCAATTTAGAATGCCTGCAATTAGAGTTGCAAGTGATGATTGTCTGCTACAGTAATTTTCCTGTCTTAATGGCAATAAGCTGCTCATTATTTTTAAAAAACTTTGTTACCCATAATTCCTGTTTAGAATGCTGCTTTTTCTTCACAAGCTGATAAAATACTCCTCACTGACAGCTCAGTAAAGTGTGAGGGAAGAGGCCAACCTTAAGAGACTGACATAATAAAAATCCACACTGAAGTTTGATGTTTGGTTTTGATATCTTTACCCTTAAAATAGCAATTTTGATGTGCAAAACTGTTTGACATTCGTCAGTCAAAGGTGTATATCCATTCATACTGGCTTTTTTTTTTTTTCTGAGACGGACTCGCTCTGTTGCCCAGGCTGGAGTGCAGTGGCGTTATCTCGGGTCACTGCAAGCTCTGCCTCCTGGGTTCACGCCATTCTCCTGCCTCAGCCTCCCAAATAGCTGGGACTACAGGTGCCCGCCACCATGCCTGGCTAATTTTTTGTATTTTTAGTAGAGACGGGGTTTCACCGTGTTAGCTAGGATGGTCTCGATCTCCCGACCTCGTGATCCGCCCACCTTGGCCTCCCGAAGTGCTGGGATTACAGGCGTGAGCCACCGCGCCCAGCCCCATTCATACTATTAATATTAACATTAATTTTATTATTTTGCTAGCTCGTCATATTTCTTACATTCATATATAATTACGTAATAAAGGAGTAACTTTAGTTGACTTATCCTTACTCTAGCTATACTCTTATATTTAGAGAATGCAATCATGATGAGACAGAAATATCAGGTTATTTGGTCAACAGAATAAGTGGTGGCTTTTTCTTTCTGAATCAGTCTCAAACAGTGTTTGGTAAAATTTTCTGTGAAAGGCCAGATAGTAATAAATATTTTCATTTTGTGGGTGATGTGATCTCTTCTACAATTATTTAACTCTGCCACATTAGCAAAAATAAATAAATAAATAAAAAAAGAAAAACCAGCCATAGAAGATTCTTAATGAAAGGATGTGGCTATAGTCCAATAAAATTTTATTCATAAAAATATGGGGAAGGTCATATTTGGGCTATGGGCCGTATTTTGCCAAATGAAAGTATTCTTCATAGGAATATTGTAAAAGCTAAAGTGTATAATATATGTGAAACACTTCATACAGGGCCTTGAAACCCAGTAATTACTAATACATCCAAATTATTAATATTATTATGTATAATGGAAGAGATTAAGATAAAATACATAAAGCATATACTCTATGTGGAGAGAAACTAAATCTGTCTTTAATAAGTCTGTTTTTGTCACAGCACAGTGTCCAGCACTGGGCCTAACAAAAAAGGAAATCAATGAATCCTTATTGAATAAATCAATAATGAATAAAGTACAATATATAGTTATTAATTCAGTAAATGTTTCTGAAAAATTTAGAGATAAGGCTGTGATTTGTTAGGCATAGAGTTACCCTGTATTCATTTAGTTTTAAGGCTTAGAGCCACAAGAATGTTTCCAGATGGCCATAAAGTATAATGTGACCTTGGAACCAAGTGAGGGTTAATGTAGAAGTCTCTCAAGAATCTTATGTTTTTCCCTAGAAATTGTAATTTGTTGGACTAGATAAAATATTTTATTGTACCTTTTACCCACTCTTGTTTTACATTTGAGAAAAATGATTCTCTGGATGTTTAACTGATTTTTTTTTCTAAAGTCATATAGGAGGTAAGAGAATTGGGACCAGAACCTTGGTGTTCTGATTCCCAATCCAGTGCTCTTTCTGTAACATGTCATCATAGTTAATACCTAAACATTTTTACTAATTTTAGAAGAAACTCCTGCTTCTACCACCTGTCCCCCTTCCTTTGCAAATTATACATACTAAACATAGTAAGAATATATCTTATGAAAAAAATCTTACAAAGTAATTAGGCTTAACTTATTTCTAAATCAATGAGTATGCAAAACATCATCTCAGATTATTTCTAAAACAAAACAAAAACATTTTTTGTAAACGTAATATCAAAGGAAAGCAAGTAGTGTACAGTTATTTTATGAATTAATTTTTAATGAAATAGAGAAACATGTAAATTTTCCTAGTTAGTAACATTGATAACATCATTTTCTGTTTGAAACTTTAATGCCTACAACTCCCAAACATCTGTTTGCATGCAACCTATTTACTCTCTACGTGCGCATAATTTCTGTCTACCTTAATGGAAACTTACAAATATGAATGTCTCCCCTGTGATCAACCACAAATTTCAATCAGTCATTTCTTTCTGCTTTTTGCCTTGAAGATTCTGGTATGGCAAAGTGTCATTAACATACATCCTTCATACCACACCAATAGTATAGCAAAATAGAATGATTTTCACCAGCATATCTATCCCCTTTCTAATATTCATAAATAATTACCTAAAAAGTGAGTAACTTTAGTTGACTTCTTTTCATTACAGCCTTATCTTTTATTTAGGGAAGATTTATAGTTATTCTTTTTTTTGTAAGAAATCTTTCTGTAAGTTAGAAAATGTTTATACAATGTAATACACACAGCTGGTAAGACAGTAATATAAAATTGATATAGTGAAATAATTTCACTGAAGAAACATATAGCTAATTAAATGTTCTGCAAGTAATTAATTTTTAAGTAGGTTGACAGTTGTAATGCCTGAAATCTGGAATCACTCCAGGCATCTCTTGGGCTCTAGGAATTCTTCACTTGATAAATACGACCTTCTGAAAAACATGAAGTTCATCTCTTGCTGCTTTTTATGTCCTTGTAAATAATATAAACTAAATGTAGGGAAATAGTTTTATTTAGAGAAAAAACCTAATTAAAATATTTATTTCAATAAATTACATATCTTAACCAATTACCTAACATAATGTAAACATCTTCAATGAAATATGAGTATTCGCTATTTTGTGTAGCAATTTTAAATATTAAAAAGGTAAAATGATGTTAAGATGATGATATAATCTATGTTACATAAATGTTCAGGCTAACCTGGTAGCACAGGTGAAAAGGTTATATTTTACACATGCATAAATTCAAACAAGTTGTGCTGACTGAATATCCTGTGAAATGCTTTACCAAAATAAATCCCATCTCTTTTTTCTTTGTGTTTGTTTTATAATACCAAAACATAGGAGGAAAAATATGGTTATATAGGCTATCTAGCACTTTAGAGAAACTCCACATTTAGTTGTTTCCTCAAGTGAAATTATTGTAAAAAAAAAAAACATTTAAAACACCTCTCTGTGTATGTGTGTGTGCCTGTGCATGCACACACGTGTTCACACACTTGTGTGGAGGAGGTCACAGAGTGCCTTTGTGAAATGGCCTTTGAATGGACTAAGCTCCTTAAATATAGGGAACTCACTTCTCTGCATACCCACAGATCCAGTTACAGTGTCTGACATATGATGTTTGCTCAAAAAAACTATTGCAGAAATGAATGAACAAATGAATGGATGAGTTATTACTTTGCAACCTGAATCCAATGGAAAGAACTGTCACACTAATGATAATCTCCTTCAACAGAGGAACTCTGATTTCCAAACAGATTACATTCTAAATGGCTGTCCTCAGAGTTCCCCCTCCCCTTCCCCTCATGTTTCTTTTATTTTTTCCACGTTTATTGAAGTAAAGTTTATGTGCAGTGAAATGCACAAACCTTAAGTGCACTGTAATTCATGAGTTTTGATAAATAACACTTGTGTGACAATCACCCCATTCAAGTTACAGAACATTTCCATCACCCCAGAAAGTTCCCTTGTGCCCCCTTTCAGTCAGTGTACTCCCCATCAACCAGAGGCAACTGCTCTTCTGTTTTATATTTTTTTCACCATATCTTAGTTTTACCTGCTGTAGACTTTTGTGTCAGGTTTCTTTCATTCAGCTTAATGTCTGTAACATTCAGCCATGCAGCTATATGTACGAGTAGTATTTTTCTTTTTATTGCTGAGTAGTATTTCATTGTATTAATATGACACTGTTTATTTATCCATTCTTCCATCAATAGACACCTGGCTAGTTTCCACTTTTGGTTATTATGAATTAAACTGCTGTGAAAATCCTTGCACAGGTCTTTTTAAGAACAAATATTTTAATTTCTCTTGTAAAAATACTTATGAGTGAAATTTCTGGGTAATAAGTGCTTCTAATTATATAAAAGGCCAAATATTTTTAAAAGTGGTTGTATGTTTTACATTCCCACCAGCAGCAATGCATAGGAGTTCCAGTTGCTTCAATGTCTTTCCAACCTTTGTTGTTGTATCTTTTTTTTTTTTTTTTAATTTTAGGCATTCTGATGGGTAAGAAGTGGAATCTATCTCACAAAATTCATTGAATATTCCTAATGAATAGTAATATCAGGCACTTTTAATGTGCTTATTGACCATTTATATATCCTTCTTTATGAAATGTGTATTCATATCTTTTGCTCTTTTTTATCAGTTTGTCTTATCATTGAGATGGAAGATTTAAAAATTATATGTATATATATTCATATGGTCACAGAAATATCTAACAAATGATGTATACAAAGTGAATTTATAAACACATATTTACATTTATTACATAAATATACAAAATTAATACAAATATATTTATATAAATTTATAAAAATGTAAATAGATATTTACATATTATGGACACATGTTTTTGTTAGATATGTTTTGTGAATATTTTCTCCTACTCTGTGGCTTGCCTTTTTATTTTCTTAATTTTGTCTATTGAGAGCAAAATAAATTTTTGATGAACTCTAATTGATTGCTTTTTCCCATCTGTCTAGTAAATCTTTGCCCATTCATGGATGTGAAGATATTTTTCTACATTTTATTCTATAATCCTTAAAGGTTTGACTTTTAAGTATGTTTCATCTGAAATTAACTTTTTTGCATGGTGTGAGGTGCTAGGTCAAGATTCAGATTTCTGTCCATATATTTATCCAGTTGGTGCAATACTATTTATTGAAAAGATTTTCCTTTGATGAAAATTGATTGACATTTTAGTGAGGATCAATTTCTAGGCTCTCTGTTCTGTTTTACAGCCTTCTATTACTACTTTTATACTAATACTAAAAAATTAAGGTTTTCACTGGGGTCACATGGAATCTATAGACATTTAAAAATACTGTGTTTTTTATTTAACGAACATGGTATATCCTTCTATTTGTTTAGCCTTCTTTAATTTGCTTAGCAAATATTTATACTTTCCTTTTTGGAGTAGATGTCTTGCATGTATTTTGTTAAATTTATTCATGTGTTTTACATAAAATCTGATATTTATTGTAATTAATTTTATACTTAAAATTTCAGATTTAAATGAAAAGAGAATTAGAATTTTATTTTTCAGTCGTTTCCAGCTTATATATAGTCAATGATTGGCTTTGATATATTGAATTTATATCTTGTGTCCTTGCTAAAGCTATATATTAGCTACGTTACTTGCCTCATAGATTGTTTTAGATTTTGTATATAAGCAATTATGTTGTCTTCAAATATAGTTTTAACTTTCCATTTCAAATATTTGTGCTTTTTAGATATCTTGTATATCTATAGTACTGTCTAAGACCTTCTAAATGTTGTTGATAGAAATAATGAGAATGGGAGTCTATTTATTTATAAATTTAGGTTTAACTACACTAGCCATTCTGTGCATACACTTTCTGTTGGTGGTTGGCAAATTTAACTCACTGTTGCTGCGTTTCATTCTTATTAGTTAGAATTATAGTAATAATAGTGACCACTGAATACTTCATTTGGCACATTTTGCTAAGTATTTTTCTTTTTTTAAAATTATTATTATGCTTTAAGTTCTATGGTACATGTGCATAATGTGCAGGTTTGTTACATATGTATACATGTGCCATGTTGGTGTGCTGCACCCATTAACTCGTCATTTACATTAGGTATATCTCCTAATGCTATCCCTCCCCCCTCCCCCCACCCCACGACAGGCCCTGGGGTGTGATGTTCCTCACCCTGTGTTCAAGTGTTCTCATTGTTCAATTCCCACCTATGAGTGAGAACATGCGGTGTTTGGTTTTCCGTCCTTGCGATAGTTTGCTGAGAATGATGGTTTCCAGTTTCATCCATGTCCCTACAAAGGACATGAACTCATCCTTTTTTATGGCTGCATAGTATTCCATGGTGTATATGTGCCACATTTTCTTAATCCAGTCTATCACTGATGGACATTTGGGTTGGCTCCAAGTCTTTGCTATTGTGAATAGGGCCACAATAAATATACATGTGCATATGTCTTTATAGCAGCATGATTTATAGTCCTTTGGGTATATGTCCAGTAATGGGATGGCTGGGTCAAATGGTGTTTCTAGTTCTAGATCCCTGAGGAATCGCCACACTGTCTTCCACAATGGTTGAACTAGTTTACAGTCCCACCAACAGTGTAAAAGCATTCCTATTTCTCCACATCCTCTCCAGCACCTGTTGTTTCCTGACTTTTTAATGATCACCATTCTAACTGGTGTGAGATGGTATCTCATTGTGGTTTTGATTTGCATTTCTCTGATGGCCAGTGATGATGAGCATTTTTTCATGTCTTTTGGCTGCATAAATGTCTTCTTTTGAGAAGTGTCTGTTCATATCCTTTGCCCACTTTGTGATGGGGTTGTTTGATTTTTTCTTGTAAATTTGTTTGAGTTCTTTGTAGGTTCTGGATATTAGCCCTTTGTCAGATGGGTAGATTGAGAAAATTAAGCAATTATGTTGTCTTCAAATAAAGATAGTTTGAAATTTCCATTTCAAATATTTGTGCTTTTTATATATCTTGTATATCTATAGTACTGTCTAGGACCTTCTATATGATGTTGATAGAAATAATGAGAATGGGAGTCTATTTATTTATAAATTTAGGTTTAACTACACTAGCCATTCTGTGAATACACTTTCTATTGGTGGTCGGCAAATTTAACTCACTGTTGCTGCGTTTCATTCTTATTAGTTGGAATAATAATAATAATAGTGACCACTGAATAATTCATGTGGCACATTTTGCTAAGTATTTTGCTAAGTATTTTTCATACAGTTTTTCTTTTAAATCTTACGAAGTCTTATAATTTTGGTTCTATTGTTCAAAGAAAACTATCCTTTCCAGAAAACTGCTCTGAATTGCCCTGCTAGTAAATGGTGAGTTCTACATGGGTTCTGAACTCAATTAGTTAATCTCTAGAACCTGGGCTTTTACATAAAAATCCATAGTAGATGTAACGTTGCAAATAGAGAAACTTTCGTACTGCTATCCTTATTTCATCTTTTCACACACTCTTTGCTACTGGCCTCCAGGGCTCCACTTACGTTTATTTTCACATTCTGGTATAATTTCATGTCAGAAAGCTTGTGGATATGGGGAGTATGACTCCGTTACCCAGAAATTTGAGAAAATGTGGTCATTGGACACTTCATTTGGCTGACACTAATTGTCTCTTACTATAATCTGTTTAATTTTAAAGCGACAAGTGGCAGTAGTCCCCACTCTGGCAGAGCTCTACAGTGACAAACAATGACCATTCTCTCTCTCTCTCTTTTTTTTTTTTTTTTTTTTTTTTTGAGATGGAGTCTCACTCTGTCCCCCAGGCTGGGATGTAGCAGCACAATCTTGGCTCACTGCAACCTCTGCCTTCTGGGTTCAAGCTATTCTCCTGCCTCAGCCTTCCAAGCAGCTGGGATTACAGGTGCCTGCCACCACACCTGGCTAATGTTTGCATTTTTAGTAGAGATGGGGTTTCACCATATTGGCCAGGCTGGTCTCACACTCCTGACCTCAGGTGATCCGCCCTCCTTGGCCTCCCAAAGTGCTGGGATTACAGGCGTGAGCCACCATGCCCAGTCTACAGTGACCATTCTCTAATGCCTTTTGTTTGGTTAGGGTACTTCATTTCAAACAGCTGAATACCTTACATGCAGCATGATACCTTATGAGAGGAGAAAAAGAGACAGGAAACCATCACTCCAGTTACTTTACTGTCCCTTGTTAACTACAGTTTTACCTAAAGAGCCAAAGTTTTGGGTGAAGAAACGTTGTATGAACCACAGATCTGATATAAAAATTTTCCATTCAAAAAATAGAAACCTGACTTTTTCTTCCTTGCTTGCTCTGTCCTACTGGGGCATGATGGAGCCCTTAGCATACAAATGTTTTTCATAACCGTGCATCTTAAGAAATTCCTCTCTTGATCCGATAGTTTAATGCTGCTACTGCCCCAGTCCTCTGCTTCCGTTTTTAAACTCCTTAAAATGGTTGTCTTCATATGGTATTTTCATTTCCTCACCTGTCATTTGCTTCATTTCACTTCACTCTGGCTTCCATTCCTACCTCTCCACTGAATCTGATCTTGTCAATGTCACCATTGACAAGACTAATGTTTGACATTTTTTCAACACTCTATTCATTGTTCTCTAGTTGTTTATCATTTTATTTGAAAATAGTACAACATACATTTGGCCACTTCTTTTCCTCAAGGTCATTTTTATTATTTTGTCATTTAAAATGATGCTTCTGGCTGTTGAATGAAGAATGGATAGGCTAGGGGCAAGAATAAATTCTAGGAGACCAGTAGGAAGGGGGTTGGCCATAGTGCAGTTAATGACAGATCATAATAAATTGACCTGGTGTGCTTGCAATAGAGATAGAGAGATAAATAAATAGATAAAATAATATTTAGGAGGTAAAATGGAATGCTTGGGAAATGGTAAACTTTGGTTTACTTTTGGATTTGTTAAAATTGAGGAGCTCCTGAGACATCCAAATAAAATATTGAATGGGAATTGCCCATAATAGATATAAACCTCAAAGAATAATTCCGAGATAGAGCTAATGTAAGCATCATCAATGTATGAATTAATTTGAAGCCATGGACTTGGATTGATCACAAGGACAGAAGGGTAAATTGAAACAGAGGTCTTAGCAAGAAATCAGCTCTGGTCTGTAATGTATTCTAGTTCTTCATTCACTTAAAAGAATGGCTATTGTGTAAGTCTGGATTTATAGAAAGTGACAAGATAATAACCCTTGGAGTTGTTCTTTATATTCTTTATCTCATGTGATACATTTTTCTTTCAGTTTGTGATGAGAATTAATGTAGTTGAAGGCACACAAGCAGTAGATTTTGTCACACCTGTCATTTGATTTTTAATATATTTCAGCAATTGCGAAGTCTTGCATGATGTACAAAGTCAATATTCAGTATAATAATGCTATATTTGATTATGATGATGCAGTTTGATATAAATATCTTTTTGCTATTTTAAAAGAAAAGTTTTGCTATAGCTATGGAATTCATTTAATGCTTTGCTGTTGTCTGGGAATATCACATCCAGTTTTCTTTGCCTAGCTGCTTTCGAAATGCTTTAGCTTTAATAGTTGAGATTGCAGTAAATAATACATTTTTTTGTACCTTAAGCAAATAGAGTCTTAAAAAATGTCAGTGTAAACATGTAAATCAAAGATAGAAAACCAAATAACAAAATAAAAGTATATCATACTTGCATTGGGAAAGAGGCATATATGTATATAGGAACTATGGTAGTTTTAATACATATGGAATGAGAGAATCAGAAAATAAGAAGTATCCATTTTATTATTAAGTTTTATTTATACTAGTACCTTCTTAATAGTCTAATAGTACTAATTTATGTGCATTATTAAGCTGGATAACCTCTTTTGGAATAACTTTTACTAGGTGGAGAACAAAGGGGTATAAGAAAGCATATAAACAAGAAAAAAAGTAATAATCTTAAAAGTAGAAAACTAGTAACCTTAAAATTATTCTTTTGCTTGAGAATCATCTTTTAATACATTTGTAAACAAAAGAGAAAGTGATTGAATGTATTTAATGTTGATGATTGAATTTATTCAAGTCCTTGATATTTAGGTAGGCAGAAGGAAAGGATTGCTATTGGTCCTTTGAATTTAATTTATATTTTGAAACCATAGTTGATAATGAGATTTTTCATCCTGGCTTTTTGAGAAAATGATAAATTGCTAAGTAATTAATGGTGAAAGACTTTTACTTTGCAAGTAATTATCAATAAATTTAAAATGCTATACTATACATGTATTTCATTTATGGTGGATGTAGTCTGGAATGGAGAATTTTTCTAGAATGTAAAAATATATCAGAAAATTTGTTTTTTCAAAACGTTGCTAAAGATTCACTTATTGTATACTGTAAATAAATTCATATTAAGCTAAAATCACTTTATTCAACGTGTATAAAACTAAAAATATCTGAAATATTCCTACTTTTATATTATTATGAATAAAACAAACCTGTACAATCCAACTATAAATTTTATGAAAACACAAAAAGCAAACACTATTTTTCCCCAAATGATGCTACCTCTTTCTTCCAATGACTCAATTTTCTAAGATTACTTCTTGAATGTATGATATTCAAACCTAAAATACTACCTTGAAAAATCTACTGTAAGGAAAGAAATTTTACCTCTGTGACCCGAGTACCATCCTGAATTAGGAAGCTGCTCTAGGGCTCAGAAAATTCAGGGACAGTCCTGCTGAGTAGGTTCCTGAGGGTAATTTTCCCACCGAAAACCCCATATCTTTATTTTCTGGGCATGCTCTCTTCCTGGAAAAAAAATATATATATACTGTTGCAGAATATATATATTCATCTCAGGTGTGTTATGAAGCTAGACTAAAAATCAAATTGTTTGAGTTTGTTGAATAGAATGTTTCTTTTCTTTTGGTTTGTGCTGAGATTTATTTTTTCATTAATCTTGAGCTCTGAGAGATACCTGGTTATAACAGAAAGTAGCTTTGACATCTTAGTAGGTTTACATCCCTTCAGGTCAGAAGTAGATATAGATGGTAATTTGGTTGAATTGATGCAGAAATCATAGAAATGTTGCTCATAATGACTACTTGAAATCAATTAAAAAATCCCTTGTCAGTCTGAGTTACTAAAATCTATATATCCTGGCTAGACTGTGATTTTGTTGAGCTCTGTAAACTACTCTCCCGACCCCTACTCCTACTCTCATGTCCCCATTTCTTTTACGACCTACTCTGCTGTCTACCCACACAATTTATGCAATACATTAAACAAGATGGTCTTATTTCATATTTGGTATTTTCAACTAGTTTGAAAGCAAGAGATCCTTACTTTCATACTAGCAGGTCAGAAATGGTGTTATGGTAAATACTGAAGTTTAATATTTCAAAGACTTTCTGATCAAAATAATTTTTATTCTAGAGTCTGAAAATTTTATAAAAGAGAAAATGAAGAACTCACATAATAACTACCTGGGCAAATCTCTGTGTCGAATTCCCCATTTATACTGATGTAGGACAGGCACGCCCCAAAATTGGGGTTTAGCGGAGGAGGATTCTTGGCTTCACCCAGGAAAAGAATTCAAGGGCCAATCAGGGCCAGCTGGTCGTGTCAATTTACTGATTCTTTCTGCTGTCCTCTCCATTCTGTTGTTGACGTATCTGTTGATGTATAAATTTCATTTCTAAAATTTTCATTTGGTTCATTTTAAATGCTTTATTTCTTTACTGAGACTTATCTTTCCTTCATTTGTTTCAATCATGTTCATAATTGCTTGTTAAAGTAATTATATGAAGGCCAATTTAAAATCTTATCAGATATGTAACATCTGTGTTATTTCAGTGTTTCCATCTATTGATAGTCTTTTCTCCTTCAGGTTGAGATTTTTCTGGTTCTTGGTATGACTAGTGATTTTCAATTGAAGCCTGAACATTTTGCATTTCATACTGTAAAACTCTGGATCTTATCTAAGTCTTGTGTTATAGCAGGGCCTCTTCAGGCATAACTCCATCAAGGGAGAGGCAAGTCATCTTTTTCCTCCCAGGTGTTGGGTTCTCCATCTGTCCCCAGTTAATGGTGAGGAAGGTGTTACTCCTTGTCATTGCTAGTTGGGAACGAGAATTCCAGCTCTCCACTAGGGCCTCAGATGATATTGTACTGGCTGGAAGGGGCTAGACGTGCCTGGTTTGCTCCTCAAGTGGCCTACCTTACACTCTGTGGGAAGGACGGCCTTTTAAAACTGGGTAGTGCTAACATCCTGATTCTCTATTAGGCCTCCTGTGATGTTACTCCAGCAAAGAGAAGGAGTAGTACCTTGATATCACCTAATGTGAGGGTAGAAATCTACAAAAACATTAAGGCTCAGTGAAGAGAAAAAAAGATCATATATATAAAAGGAATAAGGTTTTTAGAGTTAGTTCAACTCCTTTCTAAGTAATATAATAAATTTTCTTTTATGTTTATTAACAGCAGGGCTTATATTATATTTGTTCCTGTCCAAAATTATAGATAATCGATTTTCATCTTTTCTGACTTTTTATTGTGTTTTGTTTATGCCAAAACAAGATAGGAAGCAATTTTCATTTAGTCCAAATACAGTATATATATATATATATATATATATATATATATATATATATATATACACACACACATATATATACATATATATACACATATATACATATATATACACATATATACATATATATACACATATACATATATACACACATATATACATATATATACATGTATATATATGTATATATATATATATACATTTTAAAATTCTGATTTGTGTGTTTAGATGCCATATCAGTTACTTCAGTTAAATTCAGTTAATACTTGCCTACTTATTGTGTATTAAAAACCCTGAAATACACAAATTGGGGTTTAAAGATACAACACTACACTCAAACCATTTTTGGTCATTTCTAATAATTTTGGATGCTAAGGAAACAAGAAGTAAACCTGACTATTTTGTTGCTATATAATTTAAGCATTGACAAGAAATGACTTTGATTTTGGAAGGGGAAAATAAAGATTCCACAGTTTTTTCCAAGTGCTATTTTTGTGCTATGCAGCTACTCAATGAGGATGATACAACAATGGCTTCTGTGTGATAGTTCACAAGATAATGCTTCTTACATCCTTTTGATAAACAATAACTGTAAACAGATGGTGCTCTGTGTAGACAGATTGTTTCTTCCACATGTCAACTGAGCCTTAAGGCTCCATGTTTTCCCATGCATGAAGTCAACTCTTATACAACATAAAGAAGATGATTTTCATGCTTTAGAATGCTGACAGATCAGTATATACATATATTTTATTATGTCTTAGGATAACTCTATATAAACCTGACTCAAGCAGTGTAAGATCATTTATATAGATTTTCCACATGAGTTTATCACAATGATAAACCATCATTCTTCAGAGTGGATGTCTTTAATTTTGTTTATGGATCCTACCTTTATTGAGGTGAAACAAACCAGTAAAACAATGCCAAGGCCACAATACATTACCCATCTCGGTAAAGAAAATCAGAGACAGGTTTAAAAATTAGGATTGACATTCAACTATTTGCTTAATATTTTGTCTAATGCACCATGATACTGAGTACAAAATAGATTGTGAGGCTTGTCTTTCCATTTGAAACCAGAATATCTTTTCTTTAAGTGAAACTCATCTATAGATAATTTAAAAATCAAAATGCTACAAACCCTAGTTCACAGATGAAAGTTTCTATTTTTGTATGATGTAATACATTTATTTTTACCAGACAGACCTTATTTTATTCTGTACACTCCAACTCACACATTCACAAAAATATAATAATCCTGACAATTTAGTCACCTTAATGGATTTTTGTAGGATTTTAAGAGGCAAATCTTTGAGAAAAGAAAATGTAAATGGAGGAAAAAAGTGAGTATATTTAGATTATTCAGATCATGTTAAAGTTAGTTCAGTTAATCCAAACTGTAATTTTATACATGAGGTCTGTCAAAGGAAGGAGATGAGTATACTAGAACAGTTTCCTGGTGGGATATCTTAGAAAATAATTGTAAAATATTCAGATTCTGTTTCATAGATAGGTTTCAGAGATGAGATTAGATAGACTAGGCTGACTTATTTAATCAGATTAGGCTAACATACTCTTAACCATTAACTTCTAAAATCTCAATGGTTTAACAAAGAATTATTTTTTTTTTCCTGCTCATCTTATAATCCAATAGGTCAGTGGGGAAGCTCTACTTCTTCAAAGACCTAGGCTCCTTCTGCAAACTCCTAGGGCCTCATTGTCTTCTATTGGGCCCTCTGCACCTAACTTACTTATGGGAAATTTTTTGGAAGGCAAGCCTGGAAGAACATTTCTCTTCTGCCCACATTATCTCAGAACTGATCCATACAGTCCCATGTAATCTTAGAGAATGTAGAACAGTTAGTACGCAAGATATTGAAAATGGAGGAGAGAGAGCAGTTAGAGGTGGAGAGG
The DNA here is from genome assembly GCF_000001405.40 of Homo sapiens. NCBI lineage: Eukaryota > Metazoa > Chordata > Mammalia > Primates > Hominidae > Homo > Homo sapiens. Next base: position 86,573,733 of record NC_000005.10, on the reverse strand, counting down.
CCAATTAAGAGACTAATTCAACAGTCCACAGTAGAACATTTAGAACCTGGTTATAAAGTGGTCTAAAGCAAAATTTCTCAACTCATATTTCTACCCACAGCATTTTAAAAATTATTTCATTTCTAATTCAGAGGTACAATGAAAATATTGTTTAAAATATGGTTTATGAAAATTATGAAGTAAGCACTCTTTGTGATACAGGAAAGGGGTCCTGATCCAGACCCCAAGAAAGGGTTATTGGATCTTGCACAAGAAAGAATTCAGGGTGAGTCTGCAGTGCAAAGTGAAAGCAAGTTTATTAAGAAAGTAAAGGAATAAAAGAATGGCTACTTCATAGAGCAGCCCCGAGGGCTGCTAGTTGCCCATTTTTTATGGTTATTTCCTGATGATATGCTAAACAAGGCATTATTCATGCCTCTCCTTTTTAGACCATATAGGGTAACTTTGTGACGTTGCCATGGCATTTGTAAACTGTCATGGCACTGACGCTAGTGTAGTAGTAAGGAAGGCCGGCGGTCACTCTTGTGGCCTTCTTGGTTTTGGTGGGATTTAGCAGGCTTCTTTACCTCAACCTGTTTTATCAGCAAGGTCTTTATGACCCGTGTTTTGTGCCGACCTCCTATCTCATCCTGTGACTTAGAATGTCTTAACCATTTGGGAATGCAGCCCAGTAGGTTTCAGCTTCATTTTACCCAGCTCCTATTTAAGATGGAGTTACTCTGGTTCACATGCCTCTGACATTTGTATTAGTCAGAATGTGTAAATATATAGCCCAATTTTACCTCTATAAAGCCCAGAATATAATGATAGAGAAAAGAAGAAGCCAAAAATGTTAAGCAGTCCCTTGAATTCAAACTGAAGTTTCTGTCAAGGCAGGTGGCTTTGAGTCTAGAAAATAATAGAGATATGCCATGTATAGATGTGAAGAAGTCCAATTTGAGCAGGATATTCATAGCTAGGAGGAATAGGCTCTTTTAATGTACTACAATTACTTGCATTTGAAATAATGAAAGCACTGAACCAGGAGCAAGCTTACAGATTACTTTGATTGCAAAAGGGATGAGGAGCACCACAATGTGAATTCATTTGCCTACAAGCCCAGGAAATTGTTTGGATCAGTCCTATCTCACATATCAGGTTTCATTGTTAGAAAATGCTAAGAAACCCACGAATCTGAGATGGGGTTCTTTACTACCGATACAACTAATGTTGCTATTTGCTAATGTAGATGCAAAGACAATTATCTGATGTCTTCCACTCTAGCTTTTTGTCTGTACTTAACAAGTGGAGAAAACACAGACAACAGTATTGTCTGAGATTACTCACATAACTAATTATTCGTTCACTAAGTGATTAGGATACAGAAGCTTACTATGGGAAATAGAGGCTCATACAACTGTTAGAGGAGCTGAAGGAACGAAGGTCAGGAAGACTTCTACCCAAGATCTTAGCCCAAAATATCAAAGTGGTGGTTCTTAATAATTTTTCTAGAAACTACTTTAATACTATAAAATTCCTAGGAGATTCCCACCAATTTTCCCAGTCTGCATTAGTGAAATGGGTGGTTTGTAAAAACTTGTCAGGAAGCTGCTGTGCATCTCAGTTCTGTTCAGGTTACAAATGTCTGAGAGAATTCGGTTTCTTTACCGGTGCCTGTCATCCGAAAATGCAACGCGGAATCAAATATGGAAGGGGACTCTGTGAAATGTGGATTCTGGTATGTCTTCTGAGTCACAAAAGAGATCTTGAAATGGGGTAGTGGAAACACCAGATTGGCTAGTCTATCCAGCACACTATTTTAGAGCTACAGGTATTTAACTGGGCTTCAAATTCATACTCTGAAGTTTACCCTTCGCTTTGATGTTCTAATCAGATATTATCTATAGTTTAACAAGAAAGCTATGCAACATTTCCCCAATTCCTACATAAGGTGGGTTCTCTATCTAGAGATAAAGAAAAATGTTGAGCTTTGAGAACCTCTAAGCTTGAAATGAGAGTCTTCAGGAAGGAAAAAACACTTTACATAGCAAAATTCAGTGCAGGTAGTAGGATTTCTTGGCTAAACTCTGGTTTTATGCTTGAGGCAGAACAAGAATCCAAGCTGGTGCTCTTCCCATAATGTTTATTAAGCAATTTAACACATGTATATGTGGCCGGGCACGGTGGCTCATGCCTGTAATCCCAGCACTTTGGGAGGCCGAGGCAGGCGGATCACGAGGTCAGGAGATCGAGACCATCCTGGCTAAGATGGTGAAACCCTGTCTCTACTAACAATACAAAAAATTAGCTGGGCGTGGTGGCGGGCGCCTGTAGTCCCAGCCACTCCGGAGGCTGAGGCAGGAGAATGGCGTGAACCCCGGAGGCGGAGCTTGCAGTGAGCCGAGATCGAGCCACTGCACTCCAGCCTGGGTGACACAGCAAGACTTCGACTCAAAAAACAAAACAAAACAAACAAACAAAAAAACACGCACATGCTTATTGAGTGCCTATGAATGCAAACATCACTGTTCAAGTGTTAGTAATACAGTAAAAAAACCTGAAAATACAGTTTTTATATTCAAAAGGTCTTGTGGGAAAGACAGACACTATAATTATGAAGAAAAAGACCAATATATACTTTGTTTTGTTATCCACTAGACTTTGAATTACTTTAAGGCAACTACAATGGCTGCCTATATATGGTGATCCTTGAACATGAGGAGAGAGGCCATTTCTCTTACTGTCTCCAGTCTCTGAAGAGAAGGAGGAAGTAAAAGCTGAAAAACAACAGGAATGAAGTCAGTGGCAAGACCAACCGGTGCCACTGACCAGGCCGGAGGTTAAAGATTAACCCCTCACTCTAACTACATGTGCTATCTATAGACCTTAATCTATCACGACCCTTTCACGTGGACCCCTTAGGGTTGTAAGCCATTAAAAAGGGCCAGGAACTCATTCTTCGGAGCTGGGTTCTTGAGACGCCAAGTCGGCTGACGCTCCTGGTGGAATAAAGTGTCTTCTTTCTTTAACCAGGTGTCTGAGGGGTTTTGTCTGCCGCTCATCCTGCTACATTTCTTGGTTGCCTGGCCAGGAAGCGAGGTGATTAATGGAAGGTCGAGGCAGCCCCTTAGATGGCTTATGCCTGCCCTGCGGACCATCCCTGCGGGGAACTCTGGCTAGCTTGAGAGACATGGATCCTGAGAGCGCTGCCGGGTAGGCATTTGCCCTAGTGGAACACCTCATCAGAGCAGTGCAGGGCAGGCCCCCCCGCGGAGGATCAACGCAGCAGCTGAACACTGGGAAGGAACCGCGCTTGGAGTCCAGACATCTGGAATACGGTAGGACGGGTCCTGGGAACTTGCCCACTTTATTTGAGTGGAAGGGTGGCCTGATCACCCTCGGTGTGCCCTTATCGGCACTTTGGTCTCAGTGTTGATTTTGATTTGGCTTGACCTGTTTGCAGAAAGGAAAGTGAAAGTGAGTGAGTGCTTGAGTTTAAGATGGGCAAGGTGAGTGAATGACCCCTTTACCCTTTCCTTCTTGTGGTGTGAGTGTTGTTTTGTCTCGGGAGGAAAATAGGTGGAACGCAAAGTAAGCCCACTCCGCTAGGAACTATGTTGAAAAATTTCAGGAAGGATTTAATGGAGACTATGTATGGAGTTACTATTGAGAGGTGACAGCGTACTGGCAGTCCTCACAGCCCTGGCTCGCTCTCGGCGCCTCCTCTGCCTGGGCTCCCACTTTGGTGGCACTTGAGGAGCCCTTCAGCCCACCGCTGCACTATGGGAGCCCCTTTCTGGGCTGGCCAAGGCCAGAGCCGGCTCCCTCAGCTTGCAGGGAGGTGTGGAGGGAGAGGCGCGAGCGGGAACCGGGGCTGCGCGTGGCGCTTGCGGGCCAGCTGGAGTTCAGGGTGGGCTTGGGCTTGGCAGGCCCCGCACTCGGAGCAGCCGGCCGGCCCTGCTGGCCCTGGGCAAAGAGGGGCTTAGCACCCGGGCCAGCGGCTGCGGAGGGTGTACTGGGTCCCCCAGCAGTGCCGGCCCACTGGCGCTGCGCTCGATTTCTCGCCGGGCCTTAGCTGCCTCCCCGCGGGGCGGGGCTGGGGACCTGCAGCCCGCCATGCCTGAGCACCTCCCCCCACCACCGTGGGCTCCTGTGCGGCCTGAGCCTCCCCGACGAGCACCGCCCCCTGCTCCAGGCACCCAGTCCCATCGACCACCCAAGGGCTGAGGAGTGCGGGCGCACGGCACCGGGACTGGCAGGCAGCTCCACCTGCAGCCCCCGTGCGGATTCACTGGGTGAAGCCAGCTGGGCTCCTGAGTCTGGTGGGGACACGGAGAACCTTTATGTCTACCTCAGGGATTGTAAATACCCCAATCAGCACCCTGTGTCTAGCTCAGGGTCTGTGAATGCACCAATGGACACTCTGTATCTAGCTACTCTGGTGGGGCCTTGGAGAACCTTTATGTCTAGCTCAGGGATTGTAAATACACCAATCGGCACTCTGTATCTAGCTCAAGGTTTGTAAACACACCAGTCAGCACCCTGTGTCTAGCTCAAGGTTTTTAAACACACCAGTCAGCACCCTGTGTCTAGCTCAGGGTTTGTGAATGCACCAATGGACACTCTGTATCTAGTTAATCTAGTGGGCACCTGGAGAACCTTTGTGTCTAGCTCAGGGATTGTAAACGCACCAATCAGCGCCCTGTCAAAACAGACCACTCTGGCTCTACCAATCAGCAGGATGTGAGTGGGGCCAGATAACAGAATAAAAGCAGGCTGCCCGAGCCAGCAGTGGTAACCCGCTCGGGTCCCGTTCCACACTGTGGAAGCTTTGTTCTCTCGCTCTTTGCAATAAATCTTGCTACTGCTCACTCTTTGGGTCCACACTGCTTTTATGAGCTGTAACACTCACCGCGAAGGTCTGCAGCTTCGCTCCTGAAGGCAGCGAGACCACGAGCCCACTGGGAGGAACGAACAACTCCAGACATGCCGCCTTAAGAGCTGTAACACTCACCACGAAGGTCTGCAGCTTCACTCCTGAGCCAGCGAGACCACGAGCCCACCAGAAGGAACGAACAACTCCAGACGTGCCACCTTAAGAGCTGTAACACTCACCGCGAGGGTCTGCGGCTTCATTCTTGAAGTCAGTGAGACCAAGAACCCACCAATTCCGGACACACTATGACACAAGGAAAATTTAGAACTTTGTGTGAGATAGACTGGCCGGCATTAGAAGTGGGTTGACTATCAGAAGGAAGCCTAAACAGGTCCCTTGTTTCAAAGTATGACACAAGGTAACTGGTAAGCCAGGACACCCAGACCAGTTTCTGTACATAGACATTTGGTTACAGCTGGTTTTAGACCTCCCACAGTGGTAAGAGGACAGGCAGCAGCAGTACTAGTGGCAAAGGGACAGACAGCCAAAACTGTTTGCCTTTTAGTGGGAAGATCTGGGGTCAGCTGTCACCACTCAGTATACTTGGACCCGGTTTCCCTAAGGGTTGAAGAACTCCCCCACCATCTTCGGGGAGGCGCTGGATCAAGACCTCCAGAAGTTTCCTACCAGAGACCTAGGCTGCGTGTTGCTCCAGTACGTTGACAACCTCCTGCTGGGACCCCTGACGGCAGTCAGGTGCACCAAAGGAACGGATACCCTGCTCTGGCACCTGGAGGACTGTGGGTATAAGGTGTCCAAGAAGAAAGCTCAGATCTGCAGATAGCAGGTACGTTACCTGGAATTTACTATCCGATAGGGGGAGCACAGCCTGGGATCAGAAAGAAAGCAGTTCATTTGCAACCTACCAGAGCCTAAGACCAGAAGGCAGGTAAGAGAATTCTTAGGAGCTATGGGGTTCTGCAGGTTATGGATCCCAAACTTTGTAGTACTGGCCAAGACCCTGTATGGAGTCACAAAGGGGGCCGACAAGGAACCTTTCGAACGGGGGTCCCAACAACAACGAGCTTTTCATGAGTTAAAAGAGAAACTCATGCCAGCCCCAGACCTGGGGCTACTTGACCCAACAAAGCCATTTACAATATGTTTGTCAGAGAGAAAAGATGGCAGTTGGAGTTTTGACCCAGACTGTGGGGCCCTGGCTGAGGTTGGTGGCCTACCTCTCTAAACAACTAGACGAGGCTCCTAAAGTTTGGCCCCCATGTTTGAGGGCCTTGGTAGCAACTGCCCTACTGGCTCAAGAAGTGGATAAGCTGACTCTTGGGCAAAACCTGAACATAAAGGCGCCCCCATGCTATGGTGACTTTAATGAATACCAAAGGACATCACTGACTAACAAATGCTAGACTAAGTAGGTACCAAAGCTTGCTCTGTGAAAATACCCACATAACCATTGAAGTTTGCAACACCTTGAACCCCACCACCTTACTCCTGGTATCAGCCCAGTTGAACATAACTGTGTAGAGGTGTTGGACTCAGTTTATTCTAGCAGGCCCAACCTGTGAGACCATCCTTGGACATCAGTAGACTGGGAGTGTACGTGAATGGGAGCAGCTTCGTCAGCCCACAAGGAGAGAGCTATGTGGGATGTGCAGTGGTAACCCTGGACACTGTCATTGAAGCCAAATTGTTGCCCCAGGGTACTTCAGCTCAGAAGGCCGAACTCATTTCTTTTATTCGGGCCTTAGAGCTAAGTGAATTTAAGACTGTAAACATTTACACTGACTCTCAGTATGCTACTTATTCTAAAGAAGAGAAGGACTTTCTCCAGGCAGAGGGAGGGCAGGTGATAGAAGAGGGATGGGTCTGGTTATCAGATGGAAGAATATCTGTGCCACAACTGCTAGGAGCCGCAGTCGTACTGGCTGTACATGAGACCACCCACCTCGGCCAAGAGTCACTTGAAAAGTTGTTAGGCCAGTACTTCTGCATCTCACATCTGTCAGCCCTTGCCAAAACAGTGGTGCAGCAGTATGTCACCTGTTGGCAGTACAACGCTAGGCAAGGTCCAACCGTCCCACCTGACATACAAGCTTATGGAGCAGCCCCCTTTGAAGATCTCCAAGTAGACTTCACCGAGATGCCCAAATGTGGATGTAACAAGTATTTGCTAGTTCTAGTGGGTGCATACTCTGGGTGGGTGGAGGCCTATCCAACACAAACTGAGAAAGCTTGTGAAGTAACCTGTGTGCTTCTCTGAGATCTCGTCCCTAGATTGGACTGTCCTTACGAATTGGCTCAGACAATGGGCCGATGTTTGTGGCTGACTTGGTACAGAAGACAACAAAGGTATTGGGGATCACATGGAAACTACATACCACTTACCGACCACAGAGTTCTGGAAAGGTGGAGCGGATGAATCGGACTATCAAAATAGTTTAGGGAAAGTGTGTCAAGAAACAGGATTAAAGTGGGTACAAGCTCTCCCTATGGTATTGTTTAAGAGTAGATGTACCCCTTCTAAAAGAACAGGATATTCCCCTTATGAAATATTCTATCACAGGCCCCCTCCCATACTATGGGGACTCCCTGGCACTCCTTGAGAGCTAGGTGAAATTGAGTTACAGTGACAGCTACAGGCTTTAGGGAAAATTACACAAACAATTTCAGCCTGGGTAAATGAGAGGTGCCCTGTCAGCTTATTGTGCCCAGTTCACCCTTTCTCCCCAGGTGATTGGGTGTGGATCAAGGATTGGAACATAGCCCCCTTGCAGCCACGGTGGAAAGGACCCCAGACCGTCGTCCTGACCACTCCCACAGCTGTAAAGGTAGAGGGAATCCCAGCCTGGATCCACCATAGCTATGTAAAACCTGCAACACTTGAGACCTGGGAGGTGAGACCAAGCCTGGACAACACCTGCAAAGTGACTCTGAACAAGATGGCAAGCCCTTCTCCAGTCATACCTGGAAGCTGACTGGCCCACACATGGCCGGAGCATGAGGATAGTTAGAGGCATGACAAAGCTGGCACATGTGCCTGTGCAGGTTTGGCACAGGCACAGGATCCCTGTTTGGAAAATGGTTTTTAGCTCTAGGAGGATTTAAAACTTTTATAATAGGAATAATAACAGTGTTAGGAACCTGCATGTTACTCGCCTGTATGGTACCTGTATTTCTCCAGAGGCTTTGTTACCACCTTAGTTCATCAAAAGACCTCAGCACAAGGGTATTACATGTATCACTATTGATCTGTCTCACAGGAAGACCTGGGTAGTGCAGATGAGAGTGAGAACTCCCACCAGTGAGTGAGGTTCTCAAATGGGGGAGCGAGGAGAGAGGCCATTTCTCTTACTGTCTCCTGTCTCTGAAGAGAAGGAGGAAGTAAAAGCTGAAAAAAAATAGGAATGAAGTCAGTGGCAAGACCAACCCGCACCACTGACCAGGCCTGAGGTTAAAGATTAACCCCTCACTCTAACCACATGTGGTATCTATAGATCTTAATCTATCACAACCCTTTCACGTGGACCCCTTAGAGTTGTAAGCCCTTAAAAGGGCCAAGAACTCTTTCTTTGGAGAGCTCGGTTCTTGAGACGCAAGTCTGCCGACACTTCTGGCCAAATAAAGCCTCTTCCTTCTTTAACCCGGTGTCTGAGGGGTTTTATCTGAGGCTCGTCCTGCTACAAACAAACATTTTTGTATTCACCTTGATATCCTGGGCACCTGGGTTCCTAATGATAAATTGTTGAATTAAGCTATTCTGCTTCTCCTTCCCCTAACATATATCCCAATCCTTGTTATTACTCATGTTTTAGTTTCAGAGCAAGCTTTCAACCCACAGTTATCTTAGAATTTTGTTTTATTGTTTAATGGCTTCTTAATAAAATATTCCCCATCTGCTTTTATTAACTTCATTTAAAGTGCATAGTGCTTTGCATTTTTATAAGTCTAGTGGGTCCTGTTTGTTAATTTATTGAAGTGATGAATTTATTTTCATTTCACACAATTTTAGAGCTGTTATTTATTATTTCCCTCCTCCCCCCAACATTGGAGCCATTTGTATTTTATGTGGGTATATTCATGGTTCACATTGCTAGCTGTGGAGTCTGTTAATGTAACATCAATAATATGTATTTCAATTGACTTTCTTTCCCTTGAAGCCATGCCAGAGTGACTCTAAGGAAACAAGAAGCAGAAGAATAAAAATAAAGATGAGAAAACAGAAAATAATTAAAATTTCCTCTGAAAAGCATGCCAATAGTTCATTCTTTTGGCAATTTTATATAAGCTAAAATAATTTATGTGCAATTACTTTAAAATATACATTTATACTTGGTAAAGATGATTAGTGATTTTGTCTATATGCAGTTTTTGTTCACTTGAATTATTTTCACTAGGGGAAATAAATATTCAACCCCTTCTTTTTCATGATCACTAATGGCAATTCTAGTACAGCAGTTTCATGGTTGAATATCACAAATATCAGCATGAAACAATATCAGTATATGCATATATAAACACATATATTTATAGGCATATGTAATACTTATATACATATAAGTATATACTACTTATAATTGTATATAAAAGATCCAAAGATAGCTATTGTGCTTTGGTCCTTAGGTTTTTTATTTCTTTATTGCAGGTTGACACACAGAGACTCAGAAGCTCCTGGTACCAAATTCAAACTTTTGTCCATCTAACTATTTAAAAAATAGCCCAGCCCAAGAAACAGATTTTTAGCCATTTAGAGTCTGCCTACTTCATATACAATGAGAAACCTCACCCCATTTCTGTGGGCCATTGATTAGATTGTCTTGTGGTTACAGGACTCCAAGTTCCTATTGCCCTTTACAGTGTTTGGACCCACACAACTCCAGCTGTATTGCTGAGCAAAAATCACCTAACATTTTAGCCCCCTCTCTGATTTCCCTCCTCTCCAGAAGTTCTCTTGCCCTCCTTCCCCCTCAGGGTGATGGCCCCCTGTGAAAGGCCTCCCCTTTTGTGCAACTCTGTCCCAGCATAGCCCAGTAGAGCCTCCATGTGCCACTGTCCCTAGTCATCACACCTTCTTCCTCGATATCTGAAACCCCTACATGAATTATAACTATAATATTTATATGTAAAAATGAACGTTATGCAACCTACCAAGTCACTCTGATAACCTAATTTTAATAAAAATTGGGGTTATAAACCTATTGTTTAAACAAATATATAAAAATTTTATCCCTAAAACTTATAATAATAATAATTAAAAAAATGATTTATAGTCACATTTGTACTGTTATTTAAACAAATATAGAAGAATCCTTATATAACATGATTATAATTCATAATTACTTGAGTAATAAAAAGTTGACTCATTAAAATAATACACATATAATTAAACCTTTTATTTTAACATAAGCCACTTATGTATATTTCATTTTTATGTTTAGATGTAGGATTGAGACATCCTTTTGAGGATGTTTCTGCTAATTGTATTTCCACTTTGGCTTTCTTACATATACAACCTTCTGAAAATAACATCCACAGTTTTTGGTTTCTGTTTAATTCATGTGAAGTGATAAATTGGACACTTTCGAAATAATTTGAGGGTAGAATCCTTTTGGATGTTTATAAATTTTACCCTCATTCTTTTATAGTTGCTTCAGCCACGATTAATTAATTAAGCAATTTCATCATATAATTTTCTTTTATTGAGTTTTTCCAAACATTAGAATTGGTCTTAGATACAAAAACTCTCTAGGCTTTTCACACAACCATTCCATTGGTCTGTACAATATTTAGATAAATTATTGAATTGGTAATTATAGCTCTTATTTGGAAATTTATCATAGCTGACTCTCAGTTCATCATTTTGCAACTTAATAGAAGCAAAATTGGAGGTAGTCTGTTGCCCTAAGGGTAACCCTTACCAATAACCATTCAGAGTTAGTAGGTTTTATAGTGGGAAATAAGAGTAGCCTGTTAGTTATGAACACTATAATAGACAATTGTGTCCCCCCTCACATTCGTATACTGAAGTTTATAATCCCCTTTGTGATTGTATTTGAAGATAGGGCCTTTTAAGGAGATAATTAACATTAAATATGGTCTTCAAGGTGGGTCACTAATCCAATAAGACTGATGTTTTTATAGGAAGAGGAAGAGACACCAGGAGTACTCATTCAAGAAAAGGCCATGTGAGGACACAGGGAGAAGGCGGCCATCTCCAAGCCAGGAAAAGAAGTCTCACTGAAAACCAGCTCTGCTAGCACCTTGATCTTGGACTTCTCGCCTCCAGAACTGTAAGCAAATTAACTTCTGTTGCTTAAGCCAGTCAGTCCCTGATACTTTGTTATGGGAGCTCTAACAGACTAAACAAATAGTGAGAATCAGTGGATTTACATGGCGGAATAGAGGCCCTTGTTAATTGAGTTCAATTAAGAGTTTCTATTGCATTTGTAAGTATCTCAATATGACTAACTGGTTGTCAGTGCTTACCACCAATCCTTTCTAGGCATGACATTCAGTTTCCTAGATTTTAATTTTTGTCCTTCAGGGTGTCTTTGATTCATATGGTCAGACAATACACCTGGGAAATATTTTCTCCATCTTACGTACCTAATATCTTTCTGCTGCCTTCACATATAAATTGACAATTTTTCTCAAAACAAAATTCATGGATAACTTCTTCAAACTTTGATAAATATTGCCTACAGTCTCCTGGCGTTTAGTATTGCAGAGCAATCTGAGCAGAATGTGTCTTATTTCTTTGTACCTAGTATTATTTTTTCCCTAGGTGGTTATAGAATTCTTTTTGCCTTTTAGCTGTGATAACTGTACTAGATATATTTTGATATTGTTTTCTTTTTATTGATTTCCTGAAATACGGCACTTACTCAGATGTCAGAATGAAGTTTTATTAGATGAAGGAAGTTTCTCATTAATTTGATTATTGTTTCTGCTGTATCTACCCTTATATATTTTGATTAAGCTTTGGGAATCTGTTCTCCACATGGTTTGTTTTCTTTATTCTCATTTTAATTCCTTTATTCCATCTCTTTATGTTTTAGAAAAATTTCTCATGCTTTCTTCTACATCATTAATTTGATTTTCTGTAGTATCTAATATGTTTTCCTCTTCATTATATACAACATTCAGAAAACATAGTTTAGAAATAAATAAAATATGCTCAGTTACTCCTTATCTTAACTTTCCATTTTACTTGTAATTTATTTTAGATTCATATGTGTAGTGCCTTTGTGAGAACATAAAAAAGATATAAGTTTTTTTTTCTGTTATTGTAGCCTATTTATTTGAAAGGAAAACAGCTCATAGTCTTTATGGAAGAAAAGATTGCATTCTTGAAATTCAGAATTTCTTTTTGGTCCTTGATGCTTCTGATTTTACTGATTCTTGTAGGTGACAATCTATCCCAACTCTGCCACTCACTATTTGAGTGATTTTTGACAAGTTATTTCAGATTTCTGTACCTAAATTTCCTTTTCTGTAAAGTGGGATTGATAATAATAGTGTTGGTCTCATAGAGTTGTATTGAATATTAAGTCAATCAATGTATTTTTCTTCATTTTCATGGCTAAGAAGAGTGTGTGTCATATAGCAAAAAATAAATAATTATTGTTTTGAAAAGAAGGAACACATACATTGATCTCCAGGAGAAAAACATTTTTTTTTTTCTACCCATTTTAACTTGCTCTGTAGGAGTAGTGTGTGTCCAATGTCATTTTTTCTGGTCATTCTATGATAGTTAAAACAATTTTGTGGTAATTTTAACCATAGAATCTCATTTTAAGAACTGAAATGCTTTACACCTGCATGCAGAGCTAAAGCTTCTCCTTTCCCCCAGCTTGGGCCTGCTTCAGGCTGGAAGTCCGTAGCGGAAAGGTAGGATTGTCAGCATCTTTCATATTTCCTGAGCTTTGTGGTCTTCTCCTTTATTTTTGCCTTCTAGTTCACTTTCTGATCTGTCAGGGTTGGAGTCTGAAGCTAAGGCAGGTGAGTGAGAAGAACTAACCTGAAGGAAAGGTCTTAATGAGATAATTCTCTTGTAACACACTATTAGAGCTTTCTGGGCATACAGGTGTTCAAATAGACTTGCTTCCTTGGCAAGCATGTGTGAATTCTTCAGAGGTTGCCTACGGGGACTTCTGCACTGCAGATTTCACTGGCTTGGACATAGAACTTCACTCTGAAACTCTTGATTTTCTACTTCTCCTGAGGATCAGAAGCTTGATAGGGTCCCTCACTTTGTCAGGTCAGAACCATTTTGAGGCAGTGCTCCTCCAACAGAGCTCCAGCTGAGTGACCTTCTTGTGCATCCTGGATACTCCCCATCCTTGTCTTGCCAAAGAGGGGAAGAAGTTTCAGGTTCTGCAGTGAGGGCATTTTAAAATCGGCATCCACTCTTCAGCATTCATTCTGTCTGAGTTACTGGAAGAGAGAGGGTTTTAATTAATAACTAATAGATTAGTTACTACAGGCAGCAGATGTTTGGGACTCCCATAAGAGTCCATAACACAAAGAAGGAGGAGAAGCATCCTTTTACTCTTTACCATTGGCTGTTGCACAGCATTCGTACCTCATGCTCTCCAGTGTTTTGGTGGCAGTGCCTCACAGGAGGGTGTGATGCCTGGAAGAAGATAGTGGGAGATTCTAGTGCTAGATGCTGAAAACAACATTGCTTAACAGACAGGGGACAAGCAGTAACCTTGCCTGGCAAAATGGAGTGTTCAGGGCAGAAGCAATAGCACCTAGTTGTGATTGTTGAAGCAGCAATGGCATATGAAAAATTCAGAGTGCTGGGTGGAAGTGATGACACCATAGGGGAGGGTCTGCAATGCCCAGCAAAGGCAGAAGATAAAATGAACTGTACGCTTGTTTTGAGAATAGCTTAGGTACCCTCAGGGACTTCTGTGTTTATTTTGGGAGACTTTGAAGTAGCTATATATTCAGAATTGTACAGTGGAGGGAAAGAAGCAGCACTCTATCCCCCCAGAGTGAGCCACTGAAATTGCTGTTTCTTACAGTGGTACCTTGAGCAATATGGACGTTAGTGGTGCCGACCTCCCTTGCAGTAAAAAAAAATCTGTGTATAACTTTTGACTTCCCAAAAATGTAACAACTATTATTCTACTATTGATCAGAAGCCTTACTGATAACACGGCCAATTAATACATATTTTACATGTGATATTTATTATATACTGCATTCTTATAATAAAGTAAGCCAGAAAAAAGAAAATGTTCTTAAGAAAATCATAAGAAAGAGAAAATGTATTTACTATTCATTAAGTGAAAGTGGATCATCATAAAAGTCCTCATCCTTGTTATCTTCAAGTTGAGTAGGCTGAGGAGGAAAAGATGGGGTTAGTCTTGCTGTCTCAAGAGTGACAGAGGCAAAATAAAATTCATCTAAAAATGGACTCATGATGTTCCAACTCATGTTGTTCAAGCATCAACAGTACCTTGTTTCATATAACTGATAAGGCTTTTCAGAAACATGGGTTATTTGTAGATTTCAATAATCCATGGACAGTACACAGAATAGATTACAGTATGTTCAAAGTCAAATATAACCACAATTCACATTGAATCAGAGATTTTCTCTCGTTTTAAATTAGATGTTTTAGAAAGTTGTATTAATTTTTATACTCAAGCTAATTTTTATTAGTCAAGCTACTATTTAGTAACTTTAGTGTTCTTACAGAAAATAAAGTGTTAATGTAACTCCCAGGTTTTCCTGATTTTCAAATAATTACAGCTTAAGACTGTATATAATAAGTGATAGCTACAAGTGATTGCTAAAATTTTAAATTTGAAACAAAGAAACAGATTTCTCTGTGTTTCTTAACAAGAAGCATAACATTATTTTTTTTAAAAATGTTACACTTAGAAGGCATTTGCAGTTGGGCATGGTGTCTCATACCTGTAATCCCAGCACTTTGGGAGGCTGAGGTGGGAGGATAGCTTGAACCCAGGAGTTCAGGACCAGCCTGGGAAACATAGTGAGACCACATCTCTACAAAACCTAAAAGAATTAGCCAAGCATGATGGTGCATATCTGTGGTCCCAGCTACTCAGGAGGCCAAAGTGGAAAGATTGCTTGAGCCAAGGAGGTTAAGGATGCAGTGAGCCTGATCATGCCACTGCACTCCAGCCTGGGTACCAGAGCAAGACCTTAGGTCAACTATTCTGGCATTAAAATTATTCCTTTTTTTTTTTAATCTGTTATTCCTTGTACATGGATTGCTCTTTTCTCAGATAACATTTACCAAAATCATACCAACCCGTAAAATCCAAGCTAACATTCTCCTTGCTGAAAATTTTTTCTTGACCATATTAACAAAAAAAAAATTCTTCTTAAATTTATTGTGTGATGTATTTTATTTTATTTCCATATCTATTTCAGTTCTACTATCAAATTTAACCATGTCGTAACTCCCATGGCACTCTAGCACCATGCATTGTGTGCAGCAGAAAATAAGCAACACTATTAAATTCATAATTTTTGTCTGTTAACAGGAAATTAAAATTTAGAAATCTGTAAGTATACTTTCAGATTTATTATTTATTAGAAGAAATGCAACCCAATACAAAAATAGGCAAAGGATGAAAATAATTTCATTAAAATGCAAATCCAAATGGCCATTAAATATATGTGAAAGGATGTCAAACTCATTGAGAGTTTTGGGTAATGAAAATGAAAGTCACAGTGTGAGACTACTTCCTACCATTAGACTTGCAAAACTTCAAAAGAGTGACAGCACTACCTCCAACAATGATGTGGGCAAAATGTATGCCATGACCTTGCTGTGGGAGAAGTGAGCTTGAATGCTTTCTTGGAAAGCTATATGACAATGTATTCAGAATATATAAATATGGTGTGTGTGTGTGTATATATACACAGCTTATATATATATAACATGTTATATATACATATATGTTATATATACATATATTTATAACATATATAACATATATATAACAGCATGTATACACACACACACACACACACACACACACACACACATATATATATACAGCTTTTGACCCAGCAATTCCACTTCTGGGAATGTATCCTATAGAAATAAGAGCAAAAATACTGTGAGGGGGACTATTATAGTACCTTTGTAGTGGGAAAAACTGGAAATAAAGTAAGTGTTCCTGTGGGCTAAATAAATGGTTAAATAAATTTAATATAGTATTTGAAATTATCCTGCCATTAAGAGTTAGTTCTAAAACATTCAGATTGGAAAACGATGTTACAAGATTACTTAGAGAAATTTTGCCTAAGTTTAGAAATGGGGCTCTTCCCTAGATAAGGATTATCCCTTGCCTGTCACTTGTCATTGAGATCCCATCTCCTCCGACCTCTTGTATTTGTCTGTATCCTCTAGTGTTTGTTAACATGCTGCCTTTTATCTGTAGATAACTATTTTCATGTATGTAACTTGTCTTTTTAGTCTCTTGCCATTTTTTATACAACATTAAGGCTTACTCATTGTGCATAGTAGGCACACAGACATCTTTTTTTGTTTGATTGATTGTTTTATTGAGTGAACCTTGTTAATAGATTATGGGTCTATAGGCCTTGGTATTTGTCAGTAAAATGGTTTCCTATTCTTGTCCATTTTGCACTCAGGGCTATAGCTACTCTATTCAATTATTCAATTATTTTGCTGAAAACTCGGAGAGTCTATTTGTTACAGAATGTAATAAAAATGTAAAGCCATTGCCATTAATAAATAACAAAACCTTTGTGTCTATTTCCCAGCAGCAAGCATAGTTTAAGTGAGTATGCATGTTGTTCAAGATTAAGTAAATCACCACAGACAAGGAAAATTACACCATAGCTTATGTGATCAGATCAAAACAACAGTCATTTTCTCCACCAATGATTCCTATTAAATGAATTGTATGCTAACAGTTTCCAATAATGAGTTGGATTTAATAAATTATGTACTCTTCATAACTTTTTAATGTACATTCTTCCAAGACTTGCCTGTTCCCGTAAGGCAAACAGCCTCTGCACATCAGAAATAAAAGCAAAATGAATGAAATTGGAATGGCTGAAGCATAACTAGTGGTAATGGGATTGGTCTTGCTTCACTTTCTCTGTCACCCACCAGACATGAGAAATCTCCCACAAGAGGCTCAGTGTTATCTTTTTTTCCTGAGTTTTTTTCTCCCATAAGTATTAGATATTGGTTACCGACAACAACTGGATAGTGTTCGTGATTGATCTATGGACTGCTCTGTTACACCAGAAACCTTATTTCTAAAATATAGTAGGTAAAAGTAGCCAACCGAGAAAACACACACACACACACACACACACACACACACACACACACACACACAGAGAGAGAGAGAGAGAGAACAAAAGATCTAAATGAGAAATCATTGACAAGATATTTAACAATTCTTTTAAATCTTTAATCTTTCCAGTATAGCAAAGGAACATTAAATGAGAAACAAATCAGCAGTGATATTAGAGATGCTTTCTAGGTTTTGAAAATCCATCCACAGAAAGTAAATTCAATTGGCTAGGATTCACTTAATAAGCCTAACATGTACTTTTGTATTCTAACTCAAATATCCTAGTTATTCTTTTTTATTATCATCTTTATTGAATACTCAATCTGATCGAACTGAATTCCTTCCATTCAGAAATAAACTTGATCTTTTGAAAAATATCATAAAATTAATCCCATTCATTTTGCATCCCTTTCTAAAGTTTAGAAAAAGTATTCCTAGTTTTAATGGGATAAAAATAAGGGATATTTATGGGCTATATATGAATGGTAAATTTGTCTTTCAAAGCATGATACTATTAAGGTAAACATTTTTAGTAGGTGGTATAGCAGGTGATGTTTGCACTTAGACAAGTGATTAAGCCAACACTGATTATTTTGAAAAAAAATTACTGTATCGAAATTGTTAAAGTAAATGTATATATTAGAGACAATACTATGTGTTTGCCAAACCTCTTCCTCTTCCTTTTGGGCCTGTGGCTTGACTGCATTTTCCAGTAGATTAGGTAGGGTTATATGGCAAAGGTCCAGGTATAGGAATATGGTCTCCATGCTCTTTCTTTCCTACCGGATTGTATATAAGGGATGTGGTATCACACTGGCAAAAGCCAGTGCTGTGAATGTCTGCACACCGCAGAGACCCTGATGACCCAAATCTGACTGTGAGGTCAACAAGGAATGAATTTCTGTCAGGTTAAGCCACTGAAATCTTGAATGTTTGTTAAAGTAGCTAGCTTTTCTGACAAGTGTATTATGTCCTAGGCAGGATGCTTTCAGATGTTACAAAAAGATCAACTTAAAATGACTTAAACAATAAGGACATTTATAATCTCACATAACAAGAAGTCCAGAATTGATAAAATTGTAGTGTTCATAAATTCAATGATTCAGTAAAATCATGAAAGATCCATGCTTTTCCATCTTTCCACTCTGTGCCTTTTTAGTCTGCCTTACCTCTTGGTCACAAAACAGCTCCTGCAGTGCCAGACATCACACAGAAAAAATAATGGCCAAAGGCAGTAAAATGACATTTCTCATTATGGTTCTCTTTTAAGAACAAAAATAATCCTTTCCAGAAACTATTCTGTAGACATTTTTTTTAACATCTTATTTCTCAGCTTTTTTCCAGACCAATCACTTGAAGGGGCAATGGTGTAGACTATTCAAGATTGATTTGTGGGAACTTAGTCTTTTCTGAAATACATGGCTGGCCAGTAATACCTGAAAAAAAGAAAAAAGAGCAAAGAGGAAAGGGAAAATGGCTTTTATGTAAACAGTAGTATATACTTAGATCATTTAAAGTTTATTAGTAAAAAATTATATTCAATTTATACAGTATTCAATATTCAATTTATATAGCATTGAAGGCACCCACTTAATCTTATAGGAGGATGCTATTGACGCAGATGCTATTGCTAGAAATGTTGACATTTATGTAAAGACATGATGACTAAGCATTTAAAAATTTATAGATAGATGTGGAAAAGAAGAAAACTATATTTATTCAAGACTTCTCATCCAGAAAGCCAGAATTGATGAATACATTTACTCAGCTTAGTTTATGGCTTTATATACAACAAAGTAGTATATATATATAGTATAGTATGTATATATATACTACTTTATATGTATATATAGTATAGTGTATATATATACTACTTTGTTGTATTGTGTATATGTATACATACTATATATAGTATAGTATATGTATTACTTTATATATATACTATACACTACTTTATATATATAGTATAGTGTATATATATACTAGTTTGTTGTATAATATCTATATATACACATTACATATAGTATAGTATATATATTACTTTGTTGTATTATATATATACTACTTTGTTGCATATAAAGTGTATATAACTACTTTCTTGTATATAAAGTGTATATATATGTATAAATTTTTTAAAATTGACAGATAAAATATTATGTATTTTCCATGTACAACATGATGTTTTGAAGTATATATACATTGTGGAATGACTAAATCCAGCTAATTAACATGTGCATTACCTCTTGAAGTTATCGTTCTTTTGTAATGAGGACTAACATCCATTATCTTAGCATTTTTCAAGAATACTATATTATTAACTATAGTCATCATGTTGTAAAATACATCTCTTGAACTTGCTCTTCCTGTCTAACCAAAATTTTGAATCCTCTGACCAACATCTCCTCAACTACCCTCCACATCCACCCTAGCCTCGGTAACCACCATTCTCCTCTCTACTTCTATGAGACCAACTTTTTCAGATTTCATATATGAGCGAGATCAAACGGCATTTGTCTGCCTGTTCCTTTCTTATTTTACTTAAGTTATGTCCTCCAGGTTCATCCATGTTGCAAGTGACAAGATTTCTTTCTGTTTATGGCTGAATTGTATTCCATTGTATATATATACCACATTAAAAAATCCACTTATTCATTAATGGACACTGAAGTCTATATCTTGGCTATTGTGAGTGGTGCTGTAATGAACATGAGAGTGAAGCTATCTCTTTGACATACTGATTTCAATTCCTTTGGATATGTACATAATAGTGGCCTTGCTGGATCTTATGGTAGTTCTATTTTTAGTTTTTTGGGGGGAACTCCATACTGTTTTCAATAATGGCTATACTAATTTACATTCTCACAGTGTGCAAATGTTCCCTTTTTTCCACATCCTTGCCAACACTTGTTATGGTGTATCTTTTTATTTCTTAGAGACAGGGTCTCACTCTGGCACCCAGGCTGGAGTGCAGTGGTGTGATCACCACTCACTGCAGCTGTGACCTCCTGGGCTAAAGCAATCCTCTCACTTCAGTCTCCCAAGTAACTGGGACTACAGGCATGTGCCACCATGCCTGGCTAATTCTTTTTTAATTTTTTGTAGAGATGAGGTCTCACTGTGTTGCCCAGACTGGTCTTCAACTCATGGGCTCAAGCTATCCTCCTGCTTCAGCCTCCCATTGTGCTCGGATTTACAGGTATGAGCCACCATGGCTGGTCTTTTTCATCTTTTTGATAATAGTCATTCTAACAGATGTGAGGTGATATCTCACTCTGGCTTTATTTGGTATTTTCCTGATGATCAGTGATGCTGAGCATTTTTTCATATACCTGCAGGCTATTTGCGTGTGTTCTTTTGGGAAATGTCTAGTTAGGTCCTTTGCCCATTTTTTAATTGGGTTATTTATTTTTTTGCTCTCAAGTTGTTTGAGTTCCTTATATATTTTGGATATTAACCCCTTATCAGATGTAGAGTTTGCAAATATTTTTTCCCATTCTATAGGTTGTCTCCTCACTCTGTTGTTTCCATTGCTGTAGAGAAACTTTTTAGTTTGGCGCATTCTAGTTTATCCATTGTTGCCTGTGCCTTTTGGGTTTTTTCCAAAAAGTCATTGCCCAGACCAATGTCATGGTATGTCTTTTCTGTGTTTTATTCTAGTAATTTTATTTATAGTTTTTGGTTGTACGTTTAAGCCTTTAACCCATTTCAAGTTGATTTTTGTATATGGTATGAAATAAGAGTTTCTTTTGCATTTGGATATCCAGTTTTCCCAATATCCTTTATTGGCACAACTGTCCTTTCCCAATTCTGTTTTGTTGATGCCTTTGTCAAAAATCAGTTGGCTGTAAATGCAGTGATTAATTTTTTTTTTTTGCTAGTACCATGCTATTTACGTTGCTATAGCCTTGTAGTGTATTTTGAAGTCAGGTAATGTGATGCCTTTAGCTTTGTTCTTTTTGCTTAAGATTTCTTTGGCTATTCTGAGTCTTTTGTGGTTCCATATGAATTTTAGGATTTTTTTTTCTCTGTATGTGAAGAATGTTGTTGTTATTTTGTTAGGAATTGCACTGAATCTGTAGATTGCTTTGGGTAGTATGAACATTTTAATACTATTAATTCTTCCAATCCACAGACATGGAATGCCTTTCTATTTATTTCTGTCTCCTTCAACCTATTTCATTAATGTTTTATACTTTTTAATGTAGACATCTTTTACCTCTTTGTTTAAATTTATTCATAAGTATTTAATTTTTGTAGCTATTTAAAATGTGATTTAGAAAAATTTCTTCTTCAGATTTTTGCTGTTAGTGTATAGAAACACTACTGATTTTTCTGTGTTGATTATGTATCCTGCAACTTTACTGAATTTATTTAATAATTCTAGCAGTTTTTAGGGTCTTCTATGGATATTATTATATCACATGCAAACAGAGACAGTTTAACTTCTTCCTTTCCAATTTGATTGCCATTTTTTTTTCTCTTGCCTAATTGCTCTGGCTAGGACTTTCATTACTTTATATAGATTAGATGTGCTGAGAATGGGCATCCTTGCCTTGTTACAGAAAAGCTTTCAACTTTGCCCAATGGAGCATGATTTTAGCTGTGAACAAAATGTATCTTCCTCGTAGGGATAAAATGATCCCAGAGGTCAAGAAGACAATTTAGAGCTGTTGAGCCCAACTACATATATCACAGACAAGAAAACTAAATTTCATAATGATTAAGTAAATGTTACCACAGCATATAAAAAATCAGCTCCTTGCAAGGCAGGAACCACAGTGGAATTTTACGTATTTTCAGTCTAAAGCTTTTTAAACACAGTGTAGTCCCTTAATGTATAAACATCAGTTAGAAAAAATGGCACTTACATAAAAGAGAAATGAATTCCATGTGTGCAAAGCAGCATACCCGGCGATTCTTAAAATACTGGTAACTGTAAAATTTACTAAGCTTTCCCTGGGCACTGTACTAAGCATTTCACATTGAATTGTTTTAATTATTTATCACAACAATCCTATGATGTAGATTTTATTAATTCCCTCATTTTGTATGTGCTGAGACTAGCTTTCAGAGAAGGTAAATCTATTTTATCATCCAGAATCCATTCCTCAATTTTGTAGTTGTGGCTCTTTAAGGTAACAACTACTGGGGTAACTTGAGATAGGACAAAGACCAATCAGTCAGAAGTTACCTATTTTTATCTTTGTAAAGACCAGGAGATAAAGAGAGACAGGCAGTCTAGCAGCTCAAGTTGGTATTAACAATGGATATTTTTTAGAAAGAGTATCAGAAGAAATACATTTTCCCAATAGAAAATTAAACAGTATTTCATTATAACTCTTTTTCAATACTGTATCCACCCATACTAGGCAGTCAAAGGAAAGTTTTAGGGGGTGCAGGATTATCATCTTGGTCTTGCAATCTTTGATATTCATCTTGGAAAGTCCCTTTTCATCATCTCCTTGTGAGCTCTTGGATTTTGATGGCTCATTCTGAGAAATAAGACTGCTGAATACAGCAACCACTTGCTTATATCACATAGACTTTCATTGTGTACTGGTTAAATAATTTTTTGTGACACAGTAAGAAAAACATCAAATTATTGTTCTACTGATTTTACCTCTCCTATCAGTGAGAAGGTGTAGATAAATGGCCTAATAGAATTTTAGAATTATAGTTGTTTAATTTTCTCAGGTGGTTCAGAACACACATCTCAGTGGAAATGTGAACAACCTCAAATTTCCCATGCTAGTGAAATATAGGCTAAGGAATGTTTCAATTTCCACTTATATAGGAACATCTTTTTTATGGAAAGACTTTGAACCTGACCCATTCCAAAGAAGTTTTATTTTGCTCTAGAGGTAATAATCATTTTTTTCTACAAGAATAATTCATATTCTAGCATATTTAATGGATGTATTTGGAAAGATGTCTTATGACATCTCAGCCTGCTATAGCAAAGCGCTACATGATGGTTGCATTACAACTTTGATCTTTAAAATTTCAGCGAATAAAATCTAATTTTTATTTAACCACTATATAGAAAGAGGTATGTACAAATATGCTTGCAAAAGCGTTTATGTATGAGAAACAGCTACTCAATTGGCCTATTGAGTTTAATCATTTGTTTGTGCATGGCTACAGAAAATGTTCTTTACTAAATGTTAAGGGAGAAATATCTTTAGAAAAACTAGAATTATTACATACACTATTACTTAATAAATGGCACGTAGTGATTCTTTGAAAATCTTAGTGAGAGCACAATGGTGTTTATAGAAGAAGGATGTAGAATAGAAAATGTTGTTTCCATATAATTAACAGTGGGATGGGTGCTTATATTGTTGGCTGTCTGAGTCACGGGTTTGTGGATATTAAAACACTACCACCACCACCAATGTCCTCATTATTATATTTCAAATGGCAATGATAGTGCTTTATTTCCATTTGTCATAAAATTCTTAATTCAAAAGGAGATCATTCAGAATTAATACATTGACTTCTTCATCTACGAGTTCATATTTGTATTTATTTTTTACTTTTAGTCAGTTTAGCTAGCTAAAATTTAATTGGATTTTTGTTGATTTATGTGCATCAAATCTCTTGATTTGTGGTTATTTAGATTTGTTTCTGTCTGTGCAAAATAACTGTATCTATAAACATTGAAGGTACTGTAAAAAATCTATTATACTATAAGAAGTAATTAGAATCAAGTTTGGGAAAATTAATTTGAGTGTAGAATCTTTGTTGAATTGGTGCCTTAAGGAGCCACATTGTTGGTTCGATTGACTCCAAATCATCTAAGACAGATGATACATCTTTTAAGATTTCCCAAGGCGAGTAGATTCCATAAGCTTCTGTGATAACATTTTCCTGCATTTAAATATGGAAATGAGAAGCATTATTTTTTATTTTGTTTCATTTTTCTTAGGTACATTTAAAATGTTTGCTTTCTTTTCTGGCTTCAGTGGAGATGAATAAAGCTGATAATAAAACACTGTTCAAATGTAGGGCCACATTTGTCTTGTCATCGTGTTTTCCTGTCATTGTAACTGGCAAATAGTAGGTGCCTGATAACCATTTGTTGAAAATATAAATTAACAAATAAAGTCTATATTTAATGACTTTTCAATCTTCTTTTCCTTATAGCCAAATAATCCTAATTTTTGTACAACTATATAATACTATATCTGCAATTCAGTAATTATAAAATCTCCTATAATAGCATTTTTTTCATAATGTATTTGGCAGCAAAATTTAACCTTATGTGAATTCATTGTTTTGGTGGCAAACTTTGATCTGAATTGACATGAGGATGTTTATAGCTTTTCTTTATTTACTTGGTATGCATATTCATATATATATTTTTAGAAATATTAACAGTATTCTGCCTTTTACCCTACTGGGCTGTTACATAACATAAGGTATATGCACTCTTTTCCCCTTATAAAATGTCCACCTCCCACAAACCTCTCTGAAATTCTATAAAAATCCACATCTAGCTTCAAATACTTTGGGTGCAAAACTGGGAAATTGTATTACTATTATCTGATCTTTTTAGTTATCTTAGACATCTGTCTGTAAGTTTCATGTATAATGCTCTACCACGATGTCAAACAATCAATGCTCACAGTTCAACAAGAATGTCTCTTGTTTTTCTTATAATAAAGGTACATGCCAAACTTTTTCTAAGGTTTCCATGTCTCTTCTCTTTAACCCAGAGGAACCACTTATAAGAAGGGGCAATTCAGCTTCTATGAACATCCAGTTTTGACCTCTCTTTGGAGAGTGCTAACAAGGATGCCAATTAATGTCAGTTGTGATAGCAAAGTTTTATGATTTTTGACAGGGATTATTTTTAAAGAAATGAAGTGTCTCACCTACTCATTTCACATAGAACTGTGATGAGGAAGCTGTAAGGTAATGATTTTTCAGTCACTTTCAATCTAAACAAACCTAACTAATGATCTTTACTCAAAAATCTCTAAATTCTGTGTTTAATGCCTTGCTTTATTTTTCTTGGCCACAAAATACTTTTATAATGGTAATATATCTCTCTAATATGTATTTATTATTGTAATACTTAAAAAACATAGAGTTGCATCAATGCAATTAAAACAAAATTGGTTAAATTCCAAATGGGATGGGAAGGCTAGGCGCTATATAGAAAATCCACTATGACATTTAGGAAAAAAGTGATATATTTGTAAATACAATGAAAGCTTCTATATGTTTGGATTGAGCTAGCTTTATATGTAGGCAAAATAAATGTAGAAGGTTTTTGGAATACCAACTTCTGTAAAGTTCCATGTATTTTACATACACACACACAAATTAGTTAACCATATAGACTTTCCCATTTACTGTGTGATCTTAGATGATTTCATTTGCTGAGCGTCTATGTTTATAAAACAAGCTTTTTTGTTTATAAAACAAGCTTTAGCTTCTTTTTTTTATAAAACAAGGATGATAACTACCTACCACTTAAAGTTGTGGCAATATTTAATGTTTAGTAGACACATAATAAGTATTTAATGGTGGGAAGGTAATAATAGTGATATAATAATTACTGGGATTTCCACTCTATTTATAATTATCATATAATCATAAAAACCTCTATGAGGGTAATTTTATACTATCAAGTTATTTATACTATCTAGTATTATTAATACCAAAAATTCTTTTATTTTCATTTTTATTACTAATGATTTTCAAGAATATTTGCTAACATTTGAATGTCCACAGTCTTAAAGCATAACTGACATAGTTTTCAATAATTTCCTTGACCCACGAACTTGTTTGTTTTACATATTAACATTGATTGTGTTTAATTGTATATTATAGTAACAGAATGCAACATTTGTCCAAATATGATTACTTCCTCCATGAACAGAAATTATCATTATATTTACCTCACCCAAATCAGAAACATGGTGTGCACACAACTTATTTTTAGCTCATTGTCCTATTGTTATTATACATGGCCCCTTTTTAAAAACCAACCAACATCTATACAATACATATCATATATGACATTAAATATATTTAAAAATGCAAAGAGTAATGCATTTTAGCAAAGCTGTAACAATTAAAATTAGGAGTTGAAATTAATATTGAAAATATTGTAAAGGGGATAAAATTTTCATTACTTTCTATTCTGTGGGAATACTTTTTTAGATTGAAATGCTGGATCTATAAATTTAAACACACACACACACACACACACACACACACACACACACACACATCGTAGCTGCTTTGCTTCTCTGAATATGGGAGAATAACAAACTCTTTTCTATTGGCCAAAGCTATCACACATCTGAGAGACACTGTATTTTGGTCAAATGGAGCGGATGGGGCTATATGCATAATGGTATAACAGGCTTTATTGCAAAATCAAATTGATTTTTGAGGCTTGGCTTTATTTCTTGCTAAGTTAGGCACATTACTCAAACTGTTACTCAGTGCCCTAACCTTTAAAATGGGAACAATAATCTTGCCTCAGAGAGTTGTTATGAAAATTAAATCAATCAATCAATCCTGTCATATCTAAAGTTCTTAGCACAAACTAAGAAATACATATATTTTAGTTTATATCTTAAATAATCAAACAGCTAAGAGACATACAGCAAAGACTGGAAGCATATACTAGGAAACACTCAGCACCCAGGTTGATAAATGAGATCAGGAAGCTAAGGGACAGGCTGTATCAAGGTGCTTTTAAGGAATACCAAAGTCCTGAATAAGGCAGGGTGGTTGGATTACTGCCGTCTAGTGGGTAATATTGCAATATCCGGCCATCTTGAAAAGCACATAAATTCAGGACAGTTTGCCCTAGACCCTATGATTCAGTTCCATGTCCACAATCTTACTATAGCGTCAGCCGAAGTGGTCCTTTGACTTATATCATCAGTCTCCACACTGAAGATATTAGGATGAAGATTTTTATACCACCATTCCCATCTCCCTTCTCTTAATCCTGTGCTCAGCTACTTCTCAGGTCTTATTATTATCCTAATCCGCTCCGCCTCTACATCGATTCTGAAATTCCATTCTCTCACTGAAAAAAAAAAAAAGCTCTTGTGAAAGCATGACATTTGAGTTTTAAAGAATAAGTAGGAATTAAATATTCAGGAGTCGTCAGGCTAAAGGAAAGGAGTCTTCCCTTTTGTAAGTCCTGGAATGCTGTAGTAACAATTTTCAGTACATGATTTCCTGTTCCCCAGGAGAGGAAACAGTGAGGATAGGCTACAGCCCTAACACTAACTGGCTAAGCGCCACTTACAGTAATGATGGTCATTGTGACACAGGGCTTCAGTTACAGCCACCAGTGAGAAGCAGGGGATAAGCAGTTTTGATCTTTGTCCTTGAACACAGTTTATGGCTCCAGGAGGAGTGCTTCCTTGGATGTCACATTAACAAAAATGACATTGAGCAGAGTCATTAACATGTTATTTTGCTCTGGGAAAAGAATATACTGGACATTTTCATTAGTGTAAAGTACAGCATTATGTTTAACCTCTTTCCCTCAATATTTAGAAGAACAATTTGGCACATTTTGTGTTTTCTATGCCAATTATCAATTTGTCCTTCGTGTTTTGTTAGGCTTTGGTAAATATATGAAATTGTTTTTATAAACTGAAATTTTGCCCCAGTGATTAGGAAAATATGTCAGTGATTTGGGGAGGTATGTATAATTTTAAAATTCAGATTTGACCCTTTCTGAGCAGAGCTGTTCGACAGCCAATGTAAAATTTCTCTTCAAGAACAATCTCATTAAAGAAGACGGATAACATTTCCCATTTGAAAATAATGAGTAGATACTGACAGTAACAATGACCAACATGGAGCTTTAAATTTATTCAATGTGCAGTTAACAGTAGATGATTTCTGCCAAAGTGAACATCTGCATAAGGGTGAGTCGGAATAACAAACAGCTCTACAAAACTTTCAAAATCAGAATGCTACAATTCTGGGATTGGTCAGGGTAAATTGAATTAATAACTAATAAAAAATTATGAGAATTATTAGTGAGTATTAGAAGTTAGATTAAAATTAATATACATTGAGTCATAGGCTGTAGATTTAAGATGGGGTTTCAATTAGTCCCCAAATAAATAAATAAATGGGGTCTCAAGGGCTAGCCCTGCCTATTGTATCTTGTCAAACATAGGATTTTGCTAGATGGACCGTGAGGCCTACAGGAAAATTACCATAGGTAAAAAGAAAGAGGAAATTATCTTGAAGATTCAGAAGAAACATCTTTAAAATTATTTATTATTGGAACTGGAAAAATATTTTCAAAAGAGGATATGCTCATTATTATATAGAGGCTGAGGCAATAATAAGAGAACAGGCTAAGATGGTAATACAGCCAGATGAGTTTTATGGACCATCAGTTGAGATTAAAAGTAGTCTGGTTGAGGTTTAAAAAGGAATATTAGGACATTTGATTTTCAATTATAGAACTAAAGTGTGTCCTGGTCCTGCTTTTTGTGTCCAAAGAGCAAAACAATGTGGGAGGATGAACTAGAATGTGAAACATAAGGATAAAATGTATAAGATGATGGTAGATATGGAGAAAAGAGAATTAAGAGATGACTTAAGATGGGTAAGTGATCTAAGAAAGGAAACACTTGGAAAGTGTCTACTCATTCTTTTCTAATGTTTTCATTTCATTCTCTTCAAACTACTGCTATTCTCCACTTAACTCACTCGACCTAGACTTCTTTCATCATCATGCCTCTGAATCTAGTAGAATTAAGACCATATCTATTTCTTAAGGCTAAAATCCATAGTCACATTGCAGAGCTCATCTAAGTCTACTTATTAGCATCACTTGACACAGTTTACTACTTCCTTCTTGAAGTATTTCCTTCTCTACTGCTGAATATTCTACTTTTCTGGTTGCTTTTTTTCCGGTGTCTTTTGAGAGCTCCAGGTTTGTTCAATCACCAAATATTGGAATGCTTAGTCCTGGGTCTCCATCTTTATCTACAATCATCTAACCCTCTCCCTAGTGATGTTACTGCCAAATTTAGATCTCCATCTTTAATTTACATTTGTTATTGTTGCCCTGACTCTTGATTTGACTAGGAAGTCAAATAAATTCTCAAAATTAACATGACCAAAAAAAGATTCTATTTCTTCCTCTGAAAACATATTTCTTCCCGAATGGTTCATTTTTAATAAATGTTACCACTAACCTTCCAATTGCTGACTTCGAGAAACCTGCAGTTATTACAGAATTTTTTTCTTTCCTATACTGGCCTCTACACCTATTTATTTCTGAATGGCTCACATTTTAATAAATGTTACCACTGGCCTTCCAATTGCTTGTTTTGAGAAACCTGCAGTTATTCTAGAATTTTTTCTTTCCTTTACTAGCCTTCTCCCCATGCCCAACCAAAACATAACTTCTGTCCTAGTCCAAGTCACTATCTTTTTTTGGTGGTTCAAATGTTTTATGGTTTCTTAGTGTTCTTCATTGGTCATTCATTTGCTAACCATCAGCCAGAGCAAATTTCTAAACATGTAAGTCAAATAATGTACCTAAACACTTTTAATTCCTTCCCATTGCACTTAGAATATAATCCAATCAAAAAGGCACAGAAAGATTAATGATAAAATTAAGGGCAAAAAAAAAAAAAAAACAACCCAAAAGGAACCAGAGTGGGGATATTAATTTTAATCAAAGTAAAAATCAAGATAATAAATAGTGATTAAAGGTTATTTTTAATTGATAAAACGAAGTATACAATGAAAGCTAGAAAATTCACAAACGTTCATGTTCAAAGAGTATAATTAGCATATTTAATGGTAATAGCTTAATATGAATGTTTAATATATGTCAGGCATTATGGTAAATGAATTATCTTATTTTTACAAAACCTTTATCACTAAGGCCCTTTCATTGATTACAAAACTGAAGACTAGTCATGCAGCTCACAAAGGATAAAGCAGTAGTACAAAGTAAGCTCTGTTTCTATAGTCTATACCTTTTCTACTATATCACACAACTCAATGATCCTAAATATTATAGGAGAAATTCAATACAATAGCAGTGGGAAACTTCAACTCTGTTTTGACAACTTTGACAGACCAAGTTGATAAAAACAAATGAGAATATAGAAAACTTTGAATACTGTAATCATTATAATCATTATGGGCAGACCTCAGGAAAATATCTCAAATTGGACCTGGCTTTGTTTCCTTTTTGTAGGAAGAAAATCAATTTAATAGGCTGAAGGTACTCTTTTAAAACAAAGTATATCAAGGCCTACATATCTGTTCCAAGATATAGATTGTATATTTTAGCAAAAGAAGTTTTCTTTCGAGAAAAGGAGTGTCATGTAGTTTCTAAAAGTCTTTTACTGAAAGTTTGTTGGATAATTATTTTTCTAAAAGTTCTTTGTGTCCTTCTTCATAGGTGAAGTATAACAACTCATTTGGTGTGTGTGTTTATAAACACACAAGTTAGGATATTTTATTTCATAGTGTTGACTGTTAAATATTGATAACACCTTCAGATTCTACCCTCTTTTTTGAATGATCTCATTTTGTATTAGTTAAGGAGCCTGGATGTTTCATATGGATGAAAATTATTTACTGTGTGGATGTTATCTACTATTATAATTTATAGAGTGAAAGTAAGACAGACTGTCTTTAACAACTTCCATTTTTCAATGTCTTTCAACTTAGTGCTTCTTTTTCATGGCTACACCTGCTTCAACATTCATATGAAAACTGAAAACATGACGATAATATCTAGTGAGACGGGACCCAAATGTCTAACAGATACTAATATGTGAAAGGTACAGCCTGGGGACAGGCTTAAGGTGAGAGGTAGACAGCAGATCTAAGTGAGCCCAGGGGCCATAACCCTCTTGGTAATCACGAGAAGCCTGAGAGTTCACTGTGGACATAAATGGGTTCAGCTCTAGCCTAGAGCAGGCAGGTTTATAAAGCTTTTCTTTGCCTTTGAGTTGACTAAGCCTTTTTTCTTGGTCTTAAGAGGCATTCTAGATTTTAAAGGTTTGTTTCCTTTTATGACAGAAAGCCATTAGTCCTTTGGGGAAGGGAAAGTTCCTTCTCAGATTTCTGGCTACAATCCTGGTAGTCTGTGGAAAACGTGACACATACTTTTAGATATGTGATGATTTGGGATAGGGTGTTGATAGACCTTGGTCATGGACTTGAAGAAGCAAATGACAGGCCTAACCGGGACTACTTGCTGCTGTTCACATTTTAATACATGTACAGCTGAGGCAGGTGCACTGTCCTTGCTTCAGTCTGTAGCACTCTATCTTGGAATTTTACATAAAGAAATTGGAGGGGTAGATATATGAATAAAGAAATGAGAGCTATCCAAAATTTATAGATTAGAAATAAACAAACTGACTTTATGCTGGTCCCATCCAACTTGAATTAAGTTATACTGCCGGAATTGAAATGAATTAACCATAAATTTAGCATATATTTTCTTTACTCCACTGCCCATAGTCTCAGAGCCAGCATAAAACTTTTAAACTTGCCAGTTGTAAATTAGATACTTTAAAGATACTAGTATTCTCATTTATCTTACTCCCCTGAATAAGCAATGGGGGAAAAGTCTATACATGTGTTTATTTGAAGTTGGGACAGGCTTGATAATGCCTATTAATAAACTAATTACCACTTTTACTCCCATCCTGTCCTTTGTTACTCTAAGTAGCATCTTGAATATAAAAAAATTAACATATCTTGGTACTTAATATTCCATGGCTTTCTCCTATTTGCCAATTGCAGATGAAATGTTAGGGCTGAACTTGTCTAATTAGTTATTTTTTTTAATCAGGTGGATAAGCTTGCTCTGTGGACCATCTTCATTCAAGAGAAAATGATCTCTATGTAAAACAAATAAACATTCCCCTGATTAAGCTCAAAGGCTCAATGAGGCTAAACCAACCACAGAAGGGTGTTTGTGTGCATGTGTGTACATTGATTAGAAGGAAAGGATAACCATATGAAACCTAAAATTCTAAGTAGTCAGTTTACTACACAATTTACTTTTGAATTGTTTTTCAGATTAGCACAGATTAACCATAAATTGTGAGATACATGTGGATTCATTTATTCAGAAATAAAACAATTTTTCTCCTTTTCTACATTTATCTTTCATATAATTTTATGATCTATAAACAAAGCAAGATCATATATATTTTCTGCTCTTTAAAAAAGATTAAATTGTATTGAATCCGAATTCTGAAGATTTTTGTTTTCTAAACAAAAAATTTGGCAGTTTTTTAAACTATAATACTTTCCCTTTCTACCTATTGTTTACATAAGACTCTTGTCAATATGAATTTATGCATCCATCCATCCATACATCCATCAATCATCTGTAGTAGACCTCCTACTCAACCTTTTCTTAATCGATTTAACAGATGAATTACATTTTCCTTAGAAACATACAGTTTAGTGCCCTTGACAAGCTGAAAGTTCATTGCCCATAGCCCATGCTCTACTTTACCTAAGAAAAAATTTACTCTTACCAACTGAAATGAAGATTGGCTCTAACAGGTTTATATCAGTAGGACTTTTTACTACAAACACAAAAGTTTAAAGAAACATAACACAAATTGGTGAAACATGTATGTAAAAGGATAGTAATGTGCTGAAAACTAAATTGAATACTTTGACTTGATATATATAAATGTCTAAAAATTGTGTGATGATTTTAAAAAACTGTAGAAACAGTAAAAACATGAAGATTGACACTCATATTGCTTTATTAATGTCCCTAAGCTCTGTTTTTACTGTAAAGAAATGGAACTGGAAATTGGAGTGCATTAGAGACAGTTTATGTAATAAAGACTGGTCAGTATTCTAATTAATCTTTGGGCAATTTCAAACTGGTGAATGGTTGCTTATGTTTTAAATAAAAATCTAATACTTAAGGTATTTCATCTGTTTATTACTTTTATGTATCCAGGTCTGTAAATTAGATACTTTAAAGATACTAGTATTCTCATTTATCTTACTCCCCTTTTAAGATTTGCCACTAAAACTAACTCTTTTGATTTACTGACACACTGTTACTCTGGATCTTGTATAATGGCAGGACTTCTAATGTATTTGCCTATCTGTAGGCTTCTTTCATATAGAATTGAAGATGCCTGATCAAAATCATCATAAGGGTATTATCTGTAATGATAACACACATTATAATGATAATATATTCAGTTTCTTATGCAATTGTAAAAGTATAATTATTCAAATATCTAATTCAAAATACTATTTGCTGAATTTTAATTCTAGAATTTTAATTGTTTATAATGAAAGAAGTTGAAATACCCTTAACCACATGTGGGCAAATAAAAGGTTTGTTCTTTCTCTTCGTATTCACGTTCTAGAGATCCTTTTTTTGTGTCTCTTACTACATGAGACCACTGGGTTGCTTGGATGCCATTTTTATTTCAATATTCTTATAACAGTAAAAGAAACTAAGTTTTCCTTGCCTGCAATTGCTTATAGTTCAGATTTTTAATTTGAGTCTAAATCAGCAGCACTATTGGAGTCTTGCTTCTTCCAAAATTGCTAAAAATTTCTGTGTGATTACGACATGGCTTTTCTGCCTTTGTCTTGGGGCTATCACTTTTCCCTATCTCTTTATTGTGCTTTGATCTGCATTTCTGCATCTCAGCAAAAGCCTGCTGTAGCTCTATCTTACATTGATTCTTTCTGATCTGTCTGTGCATTGCCTGATCAATTGGTTCTGTTGTTCTAGAATAATCAGGAGTTTTTCATTTCACTCAATTTGTGGGTGGAAAAGGACTTCCAATTTGAATCAGATGTATAAAATAATTTTATTAGACAGATTCATAGAAAAATATGTCTTGCATTATGGAATTAAACATGACCTATGGTTGTAGTATCTTGGCGTTTTACTGTTGAATCTTTTCATGCTCACTGTTGTGGATACCACAAGAACACTCTCTTCTACATTTTCACTTTCAAAACCTGGTAAGCTTGTATAGTTAGAAATTGAATTTTCATTTACCTACCTTATCTTTTATATTTATATATCTTTCTGTATTTTTAATTATTAATGCTTTTATATCAATATTTTAATTATTAATGCTTTTTATAAATAAATATATATGTGTGTGTGTGCATATGTATATCCTATATGTAGCACTGAAGGATGTGACTAATTGAGGACTTTTCCCTCACACAAAAAATCAGTGGTTTAATAAGTAAAGGATAATAGTATATATTTTTCCTCTAAACATGATTTGATTTTGTTATTTACTATATAGTGGAACCAAAATGAGCAACAGCTCCTAAATGTATTATGAACCCTCATTTGCAACCACAGAATAAAAGTTCTGTGTATGTGCAAATGATAGTTTATCAAAATAGAGCAATGTATGCAGTTCATTCATCTGTGGTGGTGGTTTTTAGCCTGTCTTCCTTTGCTACTGGTTTTATACATGCATTTTTTTTTTCTGGAGACAGATTAAAGCAGATACAGAAGTCATCGGAGTAAAAAATCCCTCTCTTCTATCAACATCAAACAAAATTATGCAATCATGAATCTTGAAACAATCTAAGATTAAACCTAGGTTGAATTACTTGAAAGAGAATTCTAAAAAATTCAAAGGGAAACCGATCTGTGAAAGAAAAAACTATTTTCTACTGCTTAAAAATTATTTTTACCCCTTTTTAATTATTGTCAAAGGGTTTTATACCTTCTTGATATCTGATACAAACCTTGGTGTATACAGTTTACCATCATGAAACTTTAAAGCATAATATAAACTCAGGAGTGATGTTCACCTTTAAAGGATTTGTTCTTAAAATAATACTACAACATTTTTGTTAAAATGATTGATTTTATTATTACTAGAAATTTATAGTAAATATTTCTGAAAGGGAAATTGTGCAAGTTTTAAATTGTCTTCTAGCTGCTTCCTTCTTGCTTCTGGAACCATGAGTGTTTCTCCATCATGGTTCCAGAATTATCTGTGTAAAATGAACATTACACATTTTATTTTTAGACTCAGCTACAGGTGCAAATCTCTACCAAAATTCATTGTCTTAAGGTCATCAAGCTAAGTTTTCTTCTCCCTGGACCCCATTCTGGTCCTGCTCCCAAGGGTGCTTTCTAAAATTGATATGGAAGAGAGGACCCTTCCTGAAGAATCATGTACCTGATCTTGTTTGACTTGCGCCACTTTAACATTTACCTCTTCAAATTGACATTTTAAAAAGTCTTTTTGGCTGGGCGCAGTGACTCACCCCTGTAATCCCAGCACTTTGGGAGGCCGAGGCGGGTGGATCATGAGGTCAGGAGTTCGAGACCACCCTGGCAAGCATGGTGAAACCCTGTCTCTACTAAAAATACAAAAATTAGCCTGGTATGGTAGCACACACCTGTAGTCTCAGCTACTCAGGAGGCTGAGGCAGGAGAATTGCTTTAATCCGGGAGGCAGAGGTTGCAATGAGCCGAGATCATTGCACTCCAGCCTGGGAAACAGAGAGAGACTCTAGCTCAAAAAAAAAAAAAAAAAAAAAATCCGCTTTTCTGGATTGTATTTTACTTGCTTATCATATGTTAGAATGCTACAGGTCTCTGTTCTATGTGTACTCTCTCTAGGTAAGCCCATTGTGTTTTATAAGGTATAAATATGATCTATATGATCTATGTTCTAATAATTCTCAAACCTAGGCTATATTCCTCATATTCCCAGGAACCTCAGAGTCCCATATTCTGTATACTATATGATATTTTCACATGGATATGCATTGGCATCTCAAACTCACCATGATTCAAATAGAACTCTTGATTTTCATTCCATGTCTGCTTTCTCTTACTTTTGTCCACTTCAGCAAATGGAACTGTCACCCATCAATTTGTTCAAGTCAAGCATCTAGAGCAGTGTTGTCCAATAGCTAGCTGTCAGTTGTGTGCAGTTATTTAAATTCAAGTTAATTCAAATTTCAAAATTCCAAATTCAGTTTCTTACTTGCACTAGTTACATTTCAAGTGCTCAATAGACACATATGGCTCGTGGCTACCATGTTAAATAGCTCACATATAGAAAATTCCATTATTTCAGAAAGCTCTTTTGAACAGTGCTCATCTATATGATTTATACCTGTCTTTCCCTTACTATGCATCTCAGGTCCTATCTACTCGAGCAAACTTATGTGTATATTTTAAAATGTAATTTTACGTTCAGGGGTACAAGTACAGGTTTGTTACATAGCTATAATTGTATCATGGGGGCTTGTTGTACAGATTGTTTCATCACCTAGGTATTAAGGCCAGTACTCATTAGTTATTTTTCCTGATTCTCTCCATCCTCCCACTCTCCACCCTCCAAAAGGCCTCGCTGTGTGTTGTTCCCTCTATGGATCCCTGCGTTCTTTATCATTCAGCTCCCACGTATAAATGAGATGATGTGGTATTTGGTTTTCTGTTTCTTTGTTAGTTTGCTAAGGATAATGGCCTCCAGCCCCATCCATGTTGCTGCAAAGGACATGATCTCATTCTTTTTTTTATGGCTGCATATTATTCCATGCAAAGATATGGAGAATTATGTGTTTTGTTCAGGGAATTAAATAATATCCTAAATTCATTTGTATATGTATATATATATATATATATAAAATACTTATTTAAAATTTGCTGTGTATGTGTATATATATACACACACATACATATATGTGTAGTAATATTCTCTAATTCTTTTTAACTCTTGAATTATCATCTTTGTTAAAACCACTATTGTCTTTCTGCTTATTTTCCAGCTTAGTCCCTTTCAAACTGCTTCTTTGCAGAGGAGCCAGGAGGATCTATTTTAAAATGTAAATTGTCCTGTCACCCTTTTGCTTTAAATCTAAATTCTTTAATGACTTATTGCTCATAGAACAAAGTCTAAACTTCTTATCTTGGTTCACAAGTTCAGTAGAACCTGGCTGCTGCCTACCTCCTGGACTTATTTAATAGGTCTCCCCTCACACGCTATGCTTTAACCACTCTTCCTCCTTTTCTTTTTAGAACAGAGCAGACCAACCTTATTCCATCTTAGATATTTTTCTCAAGCTGTTTTCTCTATCGGGGATGCTCTGTTTTCTGGTCATACCATTACCGCCTTTTTCTAGGTACCGATATCCCAGCTTAGAACTACTTTTCCTGACCAACCAAACCAAGAGTAACCTCTGGACCTTTTTCTAGAGCTGGGCCATGTAATTCTTCTTAATTAATTGCATAGCTTTTGTTGCCAATTCTCTTTTAGTTTATATAATATTTATTTACTTATTTATTTCTCTAACTAGAATTTAATTTCCACAAGAAGCAGAATATTATTTATCTTGTTCGCCACTTTATTTCCATGTTCAAACAAGTGCCTGCACATAGCAGAAGATAAATACCTATTTTCCATTGAATTAATGTGACAGGAAATGGTATGAAATGAAAGAACTACAAAAAGGAACAGAATTTTGACTTTCTGGATATTTCTCTTGATTTTATCTATGATTTATGAAATTGAAATAATATATAAGCAAGAGTGTGGTGTTTTGCTCTCCTCAGGATTAGAAGTAACAATAGTTGATGCAATTGAAATGAGACTTCTAGAAATTTCAGTTGTTCATTTATTTACTCATAATTTCTTGAGTCATGGAACAGTGCTAGTTTTCCCTTGCAAATACAAACAAAATGCCCCATAAGAGTCACCATAACATTGTTGAAATCTATTTTTACTGAGTTTTCCTTTCATATCTATAATTTAACATCATATAAAGGAAATATAAAATTAAAAAAGTTCTTAAAGATAAAATTCAAAATTATCTCATTTTTAATTTTATAAAATATGTAATTTATACTTACTGAACATAAAAATAAGTAAATGTAAAGTTATGCTGTTAATACAGTATATGTTCTTAATATTCTTAATATCTTTTAAATATTTTACTCTTAATCATGGTATACATTTGTATGAAAAAGTAAATGCATAATTTGTCTTCTTTTAACATTTCTATTCTTAAAATTTCATATACTCCTTTCTATCCTTTCTGCATCCAAAATTTAAAGTATACTGTGTTCACATTTTATGGAATGGAATGAAATAAAAATCAGGCCGTGGATATAAACATGTCTTAATCACTGTTCCTGGGCAATACATTTTAACTTTGGGGCAGTAATCTTAAGATCATCTAGAGTAGCATTTCTTCCTGTCTGGTCCTCTGACTACCAGCATCAGAATCAACTAGGTGCTTATGAAATCAGAGATTCCTAAAACTAATACTCATAAAATGAAATCACTGGGGATGGCACATAGAATTCTTCATTAAAAAAACACTCAAGGCTGGGTGCGGTGGCTCATGCCTATAATCCCAGCACTTTGGGAGGCTGAGGCAGGAGGATTGCTTGAGCCCAGGAGGTCAAGACCAGCCTGAGCAACATGGGAAAACTCTATCTTTACAGATAAAAATAAAAAATTAGCCAGGTGTGGTGTTGTATGCCTGTGGTCCCAACTACTCCAGAGGCTGCAGTGGGAGGATTGCTTTAGCCCAAGAGATCGGCTGCAGTGAGCTGACTTGGCACCACTGCACTCCAGCCTGGGGGACAGAGACCCTGTCTCCAAAACAAACAAACAAACAAACAAACAAAAAAACAACCAACCAACAAACAGCACTCTAAGTGATTTACTTTATGTACTCTAAGGTTTGAGAATCAATATCAGTGTTTGTAATGAAGTTCAATGAAATCATTCAAAGCAGGCTTTAATGGTCTCCTTACAAATAGCCCTGCGGAGTTTAAAGTATAGTTTGATTCAATATGAATAGGAGGAGCAGCTTTACCTGAAACACGGTAAGCAACATTATGTGACAGGTGCCATCTGTTAACCCCAAAGGCTCTCCTATTAACCTTATTTTCGAACTTGAAAGTCCTTCATTATGGATGTTTTAGGTTTAATAAAATCAAGATTAGATTAAAATTAAAATGTCTATTTAGGAAAGAAATAATTTAAAGCTATGAAAAATTTTACCATGAATTCTATTACTAGATTAATTTCTGGAAAATAGCAGGTCCTGAATGATTGAAGCAGAAATATTTGAGTTTTATTTGTGGAGAGGGTTCAGAGAACAAGGAAACTTGGCTTAGCGCAGGTTGAGTAATCAATTCAGAAATGATTCTTGATAATTGTGTTCCTAAGAAAGAACAGAGATAAGCCTTGTTATCTTTCATCATGTAATTTAAAATACATAAAAGAGGTAATATATGTATCCAAATATTCCATTATATTAAATATAAACTGCCACAAGACATACATGAAGAGGACAAAGGAGGCAGTTATTTCTGATAGCTTACAAGGTTTCTTGGAGGACCTAACATTTAATCTTGACCTTTAAAGTAGTTAGAATTTGGATATATGAAAACTCCGGGAGAGAATCTGATGCAACTGGGCATAGATGTTAGAGGAACTGAGTGTTCACCAAGAGAGTACAAAAGCCTAGATTAAGGAATAGAGTGAACACTGATAACAAAATACATATTTTTTTCTTCATATCAAACATTTTGTTTATGCTCAGTTGTTTACAGATATAAATATTGCATTTTGGAAACCTTACCAAATGTCCAAATACACTTCTCAGACATAAAAATGTGAAATTTCAGACTAAATACAAATATACTCTTTTCAGGGAAGATTAAAAAATTCAAGTTCATGCTGCTGACTATGATATGTAACCTTTTGTTTATTTCTTAACGAGGATGTGGAAATTCATAGTCCTGATCTAGTCAAAGTCTCCACTATAAAGTAGCTAACCTCAGGTGGCCACTACCATAGTAAGCAGGCATGTGTTCTGGGAGCCTTGAAAGTTTATTATTTCTTCATTGTTGCAGGCCATACAATGTTACTATTTTAGCTTCCTTATTAAAATAATACCTTTTCTACAGCCTGTTATTTGTAGATGTAAGAAAAAATTAGAACCTGGTGCTTATGCCACAAAGGATATTTAAGTTGTCCATGACAATATAGCAAGCATGGGGACATTGTCAATGAAGTTTCCAACCTGTTCACCAATGCCAATGACAAAATAGAACACATTAAAAACTGCAGCTGTCATTCATCTGTCTTTCATGAAATGGCAGCATGCCGAGGTTATTAGAGTGATAACACCTTAAAACCATTAAGAGAAGTTTTGAATGTTTTCCTCCAGGGTGGAGATAATTAATAAAACCTAAATAGATAATGAAATTGGAATCTAATCTAATTTTTTAAATTTAGTTTTTATTTTCTCAACTAAAGTGAACAAAGTTGACAGTGCATGGAATTAGGACTGGAAGTGTGCAAGGTTTATGGAAAGAACTTATAAATACTTTAAAGTAACAACAGAAAAAAGCATTAGACAGTAATCTGCTCTTCCCTGAAGAATCATATATTTAGTGTTTTAATTTAAAATGTACTTATGTAGCTTATTTATACTTGAAAATTTTATTCACATATTTATTATATAGGAAATTAGATAAATAGGCAAAATGAGTGAACAAACATTAATTAAAATCAGAAATGAAACACATTCAGAAAACTGACCTTGTGGACAGCAAAATGTAAAAAAAGAAATGGAAAATCTACCCATGACTTGCAAAAGAGGGAGGACATAATAACTGATGAGATCAGAAATATAAAATAAAGGAAGAAAAAACAGTATCAACATTGGAGTAACTATACTAATTTTGAGGCAGAGGGAGAGGGTAACAAAAGAGCCCCACAATATGGAACAACTGGTCATTGAATCAAAAATGGACTTTAATTGGAAACAGACAGATGGCTTCAACACTATTAGCACAGAGAAAGCTGTTGTGTAGACATGGAGATCTAGGATATTGACTTTGACAGTCCTGTCTTTGCTTTGCATTGAGAATGATGTTATTCAAATTGAATGGAATATGCAGGAAGGTTGACTACTTGCCTAACGTTCCTTGGGTTCCATTTATACTCTTTTAAATAGGTGGGCAATTGCATGCTCTCAGATAATTTAACACATAGATGGGGCATCGCTATATCTGATATGCACACATATGTACATATGTTGGAAGAAAGAATATTGACATATTGGCACTTTGCTTTCTTTTGGCAATGTTAGTTCAAGGTGAAAACTGTTCTAAGTGTCTTTATTAGATGGAGGTTAAACAATTTCATAACTCTCAGAGTTGAATATAAGGACTCAGGAATAATTACATAAATCTTTTTCTACAGTGCATATCCAAACAAGATAAGAAAGTCAGCCACAGTAAGATAACCAAGTGATGCCAGAAACATTTCCATCATGTATC
Source organism: Homo sapiens (assembly GCF_000001405.40). Lineage (NCBI taxonomy): Eukaryota > Metazoa > Chordata > Mammalia > Primates > Hominidae > Homo > Homo sapiens. The sequence goes on along the minus strand of NC_000005.10, from coordinate 86,532,212 downwards.
TTTGATTTATCTGATATGATTTAAAGAACTATTAGGTATTTAATCACTACATTCACCTAGCCATTTTTTACATCTAATCTATAAATCCATTTAAAAATAGGATTTATAACAAAACATTTAGTAAAAAAATACCTGCAGATAAATGTTTTTAACACAACTCTTTTTAGAAGCATCTCACTTTATGTGCTGGCTTTATTTCTAGCTTTTTGTACACTAAAGGAATTATTATTTAAATCAATGACTCTAATATTGATTTGTTTGAAAGTCTGATAAAAATGAAGGCCATTTCTCCCTGAAAAACTGCACATACACACAGAATTTTTTTAATATATAATTTTCAGAAAGTTTAGCCTCTGAAGTTCTATACTTGAAGCCGCTGGATCTCAAATAATTTTTTTTTTTGAGACAGTCTCACTTTGTTACCCAGGCTGGAGTAAAGTGGTGGGATCTCAAAATCCTCACTGCAACCTCCGTCTCGCAGGTTCAAGTGATTCTCCTGTCTCAGCCTCTCAAGTAGCTGGGACTTCAGGGACACACCACCATGCCCGGCTAATTTTTGTATTTTTAGTAGAGACAGGGTTTCACCATGTTTGCCAGGCTGGTCTCAAACTCCTGACCTCAGGTGATCCACCGCCTTGGCCACCCAAAGTGCTGGGATTACAGGCATGAGACACCGCGCCTGGCCCCAGGATCTCAAATTTAAAAAGCTCTTATTGCAAGTAAATTTATAGAAAATGCTAGAAATATTTTATTTAACATGAGTAAATAATGGTGGAAGCTGGATGGGATGGTAGAGCTTACTTTTCCATTTGCCTACTTAAATCCCTGCTCATGTGTTTAAAAATCCCTAATAGTTGATTACTTAACTCTCTTTTTTGGTTATCTGAAAGTTCTACTTTGTAACATATTAAAAAATCTGCCTCTCTCTAACTTCATTAATTCTTCCTGATGCTGATCTCTGGAATAATCTACAACTGTCTTTCTTCTTTCAGTTCATGGAATTTCAGATTTTTCTTAGACACTTAGTTCTTTAAGAGAAAGAATGGCCTTTAAAAATCAGTTTAGATTAAGTCATTCAGTTTACAAATAATAAAATTGAGGCAAAAAAGTAATAAAGACATGTATTCCGTCTCTTAAAAATATTTTACCAGAATGCCCAATGTGCCTTTAACCTTATATTAAAGCATGTTCTCCATATGATTCTCTATCTTTCCCTAGTCCAAACTGCTTTTTTGAAGGCTCTTCAATAGTGTGGCACCAGGAATCTGTCGCCAGACTTTATCTGGGGCTTGGGCAGCAGGTAGTAGAGTTTGTAGTAGCTTTGAAATGGCCAGATTTCATCTAAAAATTTTTTTTAAAATTATTGCAAATAGCCATATATTAAGAATTTTTATATAAATACCTGCCAATTACCAGTTTTTAACTTGTAAAATGGGCATCCCTAAAAATGATTAAGTCAAAGAAACAAATAGAAAAATGGGCCACTCAATAAACAGTTGATGACCTTTTTTTGAATACTTTTAATGTATCAGGAACATAGTTGAGTGCATTAAGTGGGCTATCTCATGCAGTCTTCCCAGTGACATTATGCAGTAGGTACTATTCAGTACCATTCTTAATGCACGTTTTATAGATGAGGAAACTGAGGTCCAGATAGATGAAGGGAACATAGTTTGAAGCATCAGAAGGAAGATGTAATCTCAGAAAGCTCTGCAGGGCTCACAGGTTTAATCTGCTCCAATGTAATGCCTCATTCAATTGATAATAGCACAGATATATCAGTTCTTCAATATTTTATTATAAAGCTAAAAAATTAAGACAAACTTTTAAAACACAGAAGTATATATAGCTAAAGTAATCTCTACCCTCCAGATAGCATTAATCAAAATTAACTTAGTTATATTTTTCTAGATAAAATAAATTCTAAATTTTGGGTGGTAAAATAAAATGATAATGGTGTTAAAAGCTGAATTTTAAAGATAATTGCCAGACTTCACTTCTGCCATTAAGGAAGATATTTTCCTTCTGTGAAATATTTTAGCAGAGTACATAGCATATAGCCAGATTAACAGCTGCATTTCCACTGTTTATATATGATTATAAAATTGATTAACCAATTTGATATTGTAAAGCTTCATAATCAACATATCTCCTAGTATTTTAAAAGTTTGAGTAGATTATTGTTACATGAGCCACAAACTGTAAAGCTTGAACATACTGCTAACTGCACTTTACTGCTTTGATCAAGTAAAATGTACATAAGTTAATCTAGCATCTACTTAATGATATGCATAATTGCTGTTGTGCTACATGGTAATTAAGCTTGAATGGACAACAGATGATTATAATTTTACATAGCCAAGCTAAAATTTTATAGCTCTTCTCTTTTTTGTTGTTATTTCTTCAACACTTTCACGACTGGTGGTGCTGAAAATTTTATCTGATACCACATAAAACTTAATCCTCATTAGTCACAACATGCATTCTAATCTCATAGCTACTGCCCACACCCACCATGTTCTGAGTAGAACTCCTCCACTGTTAGAGTTCAACTAATACAAGCCTCTGCTCTTGCTGTATTTCCATACCCACATCCTGGAGTTAACACCTGTTTTCCCTTTATGCAATCTTGATCCACCTAAAAAGGCAATAAAACATATATTTGAAAAGTGTGGGCTATGGAGTAAGGCAGATCTGGCCTTGAGTTTACTCTCTGCTACTTCCTAATTGGGTAAAGTCGAACCATATATCTCACCTCTTGAACCTCAGCTTCTTCTTCTGCAAAATATGGATGAGCCTGATACCTACTTGAAAGTGTGAAAATTAAATTGTCGACAGATGTGAAGAATTTGACTAGGACCCTGGCACATACTTATTGCTCAGTAATGTGCAACTGCTGGTATTATCCTCATATCTCAAGTATATTCGGTAAATCAGCAGACATAATGAGTGAATTCAGATCTTTTCCCACTTTTACTTGTAGTAAAGATTAGTAGAGCAACCCTATACGTGTCCTGAGTTGGGTGTATGGTGGTTACTATCAAAGGGAAGGGAACAAGTACACAAACAGAAGACTGAAACTGTGAAGACTTGCTTTAAAGTGTCCAAATTTTTCCCATGCTATGCTTCTTATCTTAAAGGCAAACTGAATTTTTGCAAGAGTTATGTTTTCCTATCCATGATGTAGTTTAGGAAGATGTTCCTCATAATTATGCTATAGTAGAAAAATGATAAATGGAGGTGGAAGTGGTAATGATAGTGATAATATTTGTCTAGATTTTATAATGTTCTAAATATAGGCAAACTCTCACTCATGATTAGTAGAAATAAATAACATACAATGCAAGAAGATTTTATGACTTTACTTGTTTTTCTACAAGTCAGTAAGAAACAACAAACCAAAGTGCATTTTAATTATCAAGGCATGATAGACTGTAACTAAATTTTGTATTAAAAAGTTGCTGGTGATTAATCAATATAATTGAAACTATACATGTGCTAATTCCTAATTGATGATTGAATGCATTCCTTGTCAGAGTAGCAAAGCAGAATAATTACATTCCATCATTCTAGCTTTGAGGAAATTGAGGACTCATGTCAAGAAAGAAAGCTCCAATTCATGGATTTTATAAATCATTTGATCAGATTTCCAAGAGCATAATTGGAAACATATTCTAGGTGCATGTGGATTTTCTTATTTAGTCTAACCGAAAAAGTAACCAGCCATATTTAACCAACTGGAGCCAAGTAATTTTACTGTCAATATAATCTTTATCATGTTATGAAGTAGTCCTGGCTTGGATGTTTTTAAAAATATTGGATCTCTTTTATTTGATAGGATAATACTTGCTGAAGTTAAGTGAGTTCCTTTAGGAATGATAGGCTTTAAATACATTTATTTACCAAAGGTAGAATAACGAGAAGACATAAGCATCTATTTTCAGTCTACTAAATTTCACTTACGGTAACATCCTTAACCTACAGTTTTGGAATGAAGATATGCATGTCTAGACAAATATTGGATCAAGAATTTCAATTATAATTATTACTAAAAATCATACGTAGTTCTACTCATTCCTTAATTCATTTCAAAATCAGTTACTGGTTGTATTCCAGGCTTATTTTAGGTAGTGGTGATACAAAGTTACCTGAAATGTGGAATCCATTTTCAAGGTGATAGTAGTCTAGAGAATGAAATGGATGTGCAAATGCTTAATATGAAATATGATCAACATATCATATGTGTGAGGTATAATAATAGATAAAAGAGGTTAATAATTAGTCAGGAGGGAGGTTGGGTAGATGAGGGAAGCTTCAGCCACTCAAAGAGGTGGTATAACTATCTAAGATTCTAGAGTATGCAAAGTACCCATGGAACACCTAATGTACATGTATTTATTACATTCTAGCAAAGTATAACAGCAAAAACAATCACAAAATGCAAGAGCTGAGTGGTACTTTATACGTATAATAGATCTGTATTTTTTTCTGAATCACTTGAGAGTGACATCATGTCCTTTTACTTCTGGCTGTATTTTATAAAAGCAGGTTATTGTTTTGTAATTATCAAAGTCAGACAATTTAACACAAATATAATACAATTTCCTGATGTGCAATCCATATTCAAACTTTGAAATTATCTCAATAGCTTTTGCTTTTCCTGCTCAATCACCAAATCCAGGATCACACACCTGTTTGACTATCATTGCCTCTTTTATCTCCTTTATTTTGGGATAGTTCTTTAGCTCCATTTGTCTTTCAAGATATTGACTTTACAGTTAAAGTACAGGTTAGTTGTTTTGTAGAACATTCCTCAGTTTGAACTTGTCTGATATGTTTCCTTTTGATTAGATCAGGTTATAGAGTTTTGGCAGGAATACTGCAAAAGTGATATTTTCTCAGTGAACCGCATCAGAGGCAATATAATGATAAATGATACATGATGTTAACTTTCATCACTTTGTCAAGGTGGTATCTGCCAGTTTCTCCACTGTAAAGTGAGTATTTGATATATAATAATATTTTATAATCTTAAGTGACTCAAAATGAAGTCACTTATGACAAGTGACTCAGCCTACAGTGAAATTGCTGACCCCTCAAAGAGATAAGCATATGTATAGTGTACAAAGGGGATAAGAGAACACTTGCTGTGGCCTGACAAGAAAGTGAAGCCAAAAGGCAGTAGAGATAATGTCTAGAGCCACTGCTGTCGGGGGCCATAAAAACCACAAAGAAACTGTGGCCAAGGCACCTGCAGAAGCTCTGCCCATGAGAAGTCTGAGGCCTCTTTATCACCAGTATCAGTTGTTGGAAGCTCTGTTGGGCAAAGAGCAGCAACACTTCCCCAGCCCCGCCCTAGGGTGCTGATCTCCTGAGCTACTCACTGTGGTTCAGTTGTGCACTCCCCACCACCCCCAACTTATTACTGACTACGTGTTGAATATATTTGCATGATTTTTGGTGTGTGAAAACTTTGCAAAAATCATGAATTTGAAAGCATTTAATTTGCCATTAAGACACTGTGAAACCTTCCAGCACACACCCCTTGCCCCCATCATAGCACAATTAGGCGGATTAGAACCTGATGCAATAGTACTTTATACTTTATTAATAAGTAATTTGTGGGGACATAGCTAATGTACCTAATCCCTTAGAAATGTAGACATCAAAAATCATATTAATGTAAACCAAAATGAAACGTGGAAAATTTTAGACCAGTGTCGTTTCTAGCTCTTGTAATTCCAGTTAAAAACAACTCCCCTGATCTCTTTGTGCCCTTTGTCCTTCATTCTCTGAAACTTTAAAATAAAATACAGGTGGGAAGTTGTAATTCTCTCACTGAAAAATATCTGATGGTCTTCCATCAAATCCCAACATTGGGATAGTTGTTATGCTGGATACATTGAAAGTTTTTTAGGATGTCTCTCAAGATTCCTCAGCAAATGAACACCAACTTCCTTTAGTCTTGCCTTTTGCCACCTGCACCCTGCAATACCCCATAGTTCCTAGACTGGCTGTTGTTCTGAGCTACTCAGAGATAACTACCTCTTTTTATTTGCGTATGTTGTTTTCCTGTGTTTGAAATACCCTTTTCTCTTTCTCTTTTTGTGACTATTTTGTTCTTTGAAAAGAAGTTTAAATGATATGTCTTCTGTGGCATGATACTCATTCATATTAATCATTTTCATTGACATCTCTTTTTGTCTGTTCTCATAAGTATTTCTTCCAGATTTCTTAATGACATTTACCTCAGTAAATTGCATGTATTTGCCTGTGTTTTGTTCTCCTCTTGATTGCAAATTCATTTAGAGAGAGCAGAATCCATGTCATTCGGGCATGTGTTTCCTGTGTGTTATGGGTTGCATCATGTCCTCCCCAAATTCATATGTTAAAATCCTAATGCCCAGTACCTCAGCATGTGATCATATGAGGAAATGGGGCCATTGCAGATGTGATCAGTTAAAATGAGGTTATGTCGAAGTAGAGTGGGCCTCCAATGCAATAAGGCTAATGTCCTTATGAAAAAATAGAAATTTTTTTGTTATATACACATACAAACTCACCCACACAAACTGAGAGAGAATGCCACATGAAGACCAAGGCAGAGATCAGTGTGATGTTTCTACAAGCCAAGGAATGTCAAAGACCACCAGAAAATTACTACAAACTAGGTGAGAGGCATGGAACTGATTCTTCCTCACAGTTCACTGAAGGAAGGACTATCTAGTAGAGTAGACACACAAGTCCATGGATGAATAAAATACTTTATATTTTTGTACATTCCTGACCAGCAATTGCTATATTTGTATGTTAATAACTGTCACTGGTGTTAAAAATGCATTTTTGTTTGTTTTTTCTAGTTTCCTAACTAGATTATTATTCATCTAAATAGAATTTACATTTTTCACTACCTTTATAATGTTTTGTAGTTTATAATACAAGGATTTTCCCCATTAAATAGCATTAAAACCTTAGTTTCATTATCATTTACCACAGAGATGCCATGATTAGGAAAAAACATTTTTTCCATTCAGAGATTGTAATTCAGACATCAGAAGACCTATTTATTGTTAAGTTATTTCATATGTTGATGAAGAAATACTCTATTAAAGGTATCTACTGACAAGTAGAATGACCATGAAGGCTTCTATTCAAAGACAAGCAAGTAAATTTAGATACCCTGTCATCAAATAATCCATATCCTCTTATGTATTTTTTTTTTAACCGTCCAGTGATTTTGGTCTCTCCTCTTAAATATTAAAATCATTTACATAGTCAAAGTAAAGTCATTTTCTCCACAAAGCTCTTATTAATTGAATATATTCATTTGAAGAATAAAACTTTCACATTTTAGCACTGATTAGATATGATTGCCAGAAAGAGTTGCAGATCTTGGGAAAAGAGAAAAGTACAGGCCAAATCTACTAGGGGATATTTTGAGGAGGAGATTCCGGGTTGGGGCACTAGTATGGGTACCACTTTGTGATGCTCAGGCTTGTTGGGCCATAGCCCTCAGGGAATCTTAGGAAAGAAGATTTAAATAAAAGTGAGTGCACAAGAGACAATATAGTCTACTTCACCTTTTGTTAAGTTTTGACTTTGTAAATCTACATCAAAACCAACAAAACACATAACGACAATCACATTAACTTAAAAAAAAGAAGCTATTTTTTAAGAAAAGAAGGGCAAAATATTCTCAAAGCAAACAGATGAATTTTTATTTTGCAGCGCATTACAAAGAGGTGAGAATTTCCAATTTCCACGTTTCCAAGAGGTCTAGTTTAGGATTAATCAACTTTCATACTGAGATTTTTTTGTGTATGCGGCTTTTCTTAGTATATAACACTTCCTACTTTACATTATGGGATATTTTAATTATTTCTCAGGGTGTGTTAGTTTTCTAGTGCATTAAAAACTGCCAAACACTTTGTGGCTTAAACAAACAACTATTTATTATCTCAGAAGTACAGGTGTGGTGTGGCTAAATTCCTTGCTCAGATTGAAATCAGAGTTTTGGTTATCCTGTATTCCATTCCGGGAGCTCTGCGTAAGAATCAGCATTCAAGCTGATTCAGGTTGTTAGCCAAATTCAGTTCCCTGTGGCTGTGGGACTGTGGTTGTAGCACATTGCCATCTGGCAGCAGCCACAAGCCATTCTTAGCTCTTAGAGTCACTTATATTCATGACCCTATGACGTTTTTTCCTTCATGTACCACAATAGAAGGTATCCCTGGTATCACAACCCTCGCACAATTGAATCTCTTGCCGTGGGAATAGCCCCATCTCTTTTGAGGGCTCAACTGATTAGGTCAGGCCCACCAAACACAATTTCCCATTCTAAAATTGTGCCTTGTATAATAACTGAAGCACAAGAGAAAAGTTTCATCATATTCACTGTCTTGGGGATGATAAAGAGCTAGAGGGCAAAAATCTTAGGGGCCATCTTCTTGTTCTACCTACCAAAGAGGACTAAAAATATTTTTTCTTATTGATAATGATATATGATGAGAACTACCTTGTCTTCAGTTTCTGCATGTCATTTTTCTAACTCAAGCACTAATTTTGTCTCCTTCAATCTCTTATGAAAGCCTCTTACCAGAAGTCCCTGCTTCTTGTACCTCCACTACCTGACTGTGCCATTATCTTGAGGCACAGTTATGATCATTGCAACTCTATTACTCAAAATTTCTTATTGGCTTCTTTCTTAATGTCTCTTAAATAAGATGTAATTTAGATGTATAAAGCATTATCATAATTTGCATCAAAACTTTCTTTTTTTTTTTCTTTTGAGATGGAGTCTTGCTCTGTTGCCCAGGCTGGAGTGCAGTGGCGCAATCTCGGCTCACTGCAATCTCTGCCTCCTGGGTTCACGCCATTCTCCTGCTGCAGCCTCCTGAGTAGCTGGGACTACAGGCATGCACCACCACGCCTGGCTAATTTTTTATATTTTTAGTAGAGACGGGGTTTCACAGTGTTCGCCAGGATGGTCTCGATCTCCTGACCTCGTGATCCACCCGCTTCGGCCTCCCAAAGTGCTGGGATTACAGGCGTGAGCCCCCGCGCCTGGCCCAAAACTTCCTTATATTACCTTCTACTGTGCTCCTTTATTAATCATAGGCTCCAGCCAAATTAACTCAGATCTTTCTCACATCTTTCTGTTTCTATATCCTTGTGAATAATTTTATTTCTATCTGGAAGCCGACTTCCTTCACTTTTCCACTAGTAATTTCTATCCATGTTTCTCAGGCTTTTCAAGAGCTACCGTCTCCATGAAGAATATTCTAACTTCCCTCAGAACTTCTGTAGCTCTGCCAGTTTTTGGCATTATTCACCTAAGTAGAAAATCATAAAAGATATTCTTTTATAAATTTTATGGCTTTTGCTGTAACCTTAAGTGTCTTGAGGATAGATAGTGTGTTTTATCACTCTTTGTATTCTCCACAGTACCTTGCATATAGTTGGTATTAAATAAATATTTGCTGAATAATTATTTGAAAGATGTTAATCTTTAGATGCCTGACCTCCTAATAAACCTTTTTTTTGCTAGCCTAATTGATTATGAGAAATTAATCTTGTAGATTAGGTGGTTTTATTAACAATAATTATGATTAAAGTAAGTTAAGAGGGCTACTTCCAGTTAATGACTTTCTTTGTTACCTAATTTATCCCTCTGACCCTGCTTGAAAATAATATCTTTATCCTGAAGTCTTAATGAAGTTATTCACACTGAATACCCAATTAGATTGTGCTTTATGTAATACATTTCCTGTTCTGAGTTCAGCTTAAAAAGGCAGATTCTTTGGCTGCTAAAATAATTAAACTTACCTGAGAATGTTCCTTACTACTAAATATACTTTTCATATATCCACATTTTTATTATGATTATACTAAAACTTTCTATATTATTGTAACTTATTATATATAGATAAATCTTAGGAATAAAAACCTGTCAAGGGAAATAACTTTAAAAGATTGTGAAGAAATAATGCTGACTGAAAAATTTATTTTGTTTTCCACACTAATGGGAGTCAGTTTAGAATAAGAAAATAAAGTTAACAGATAATCCAAAACATAATTCGGCCTAAAAGTTGCAATTGCTTTCAGAATTTTAGTCACTTTTTATTGACAGTCTTTTTCATGCTGAGAAAATATTACTATTTAGGATGGTAAAGATGATTATTAAAAATGAAGAAGAAAAATGTCAGCATTTTAGAACACTGAAACTCAACAATAAACTATGAAGTAAAGAAGATTGGACTCCCTGGATTAGGACAGGTTGGATTTTAAAAGTATTTTTAATCAGAGTGTAAAATATAACTCAGGGATCAAAATATACAGACTGTCAGAGTGATGAATAGATTTCCCACCCACAGACATGGCAGACATTACAAACTAATCATGCTACTTTTTTTTTTATGCTAAGTATAATTTAGGCTCAGATTCATCCTTAAAACAGCATCGCTATTACTATTTTTATTTTTTCCATTTAATTTTATTTTAGGCTCAGGGAGTACATGTGCAGAGTTTTTACCTGGGTATATTGCATAATGGTGGGGATTAGGCTTCTAGTGTATCAATCCCCATAATAGCAAACATTGTACCCAATTATTCAACCCTCACTCCTCCCCACTTTTGGAGTCTCTAGTGTCCACTATTTCCATCTTTATGTCCATATGTACCAATTTATAAGCTTCCACTTACAAGTGAAAACATGCAGTATTTGATTTTCTGCTTCTGAGTTACGTTACATATGATAATGGCTTCCAGCTCTACTAATGTTGCTGCAAATGACATAATTTTATTATTTTTTTTTATGGCTGTATTGTATTTTGAGATGGGGCTATACCATATAAATACCATACGGCCATAAAAGATACCATACACATAAATATATATCTTACTTTTTTTTTTATCCAATCAACTATTGATGGACACTTACCATGGTTCCATGACTTTGCTGTTGTGAATAGTGCTGTGATAAATATATACCTGCTGTGACATGGAGGTATCTTTTTAATATAATTATTTCTTTTCATTTGGGTAGATACCCAGTAATGGGATTGCTGGGTCAAGTGGTAGTTCTTTCCGTAATTCACTGAGAAATCTCCATACTGTTTTCCATAGAGGTTGAACTAATTTACATTTCCACCAACAGTGTATAAGTATTTCGTTTCTTCCATATTCATGCCAACATTTGTTGTTTTTTGACTTTCTATTAATAGCTACTCTAACTAGTGTACGATGATATCTCATTGTGTTTTAATTTGCATCTGTCTGATAATTAGTGATGTTAAACTTTTTTTTCATGTGTTTGTTGGCTGCTTGTATGTCTTCTTTTCAGAACTGTCTGTTCATATCCTTTGCTCATTTTTTAATGGAGTTGTTCGTTTTTTTTTCTTGTTTGAGTTCCTTGTAGATGCTGGATGTTAGTCTTTTGCTGGAGGCATAATTTGCTAATATTTTCTCACATTCTGTAGGTTGCCTGTTTATTTGGTTGATTATTTCTTTTGCTATGCAGAAGCTTCTTAGTTTAATTAAGGCTCATTTGTCTATTTTGTTTTTGTTGCATTTGCTTTTGGGGTCTTTGTTATAAATTCTCTTCCTATGCCAAAGTCCAGAAAAGTTTTTTTCTAGGTTTACTTCTAGGATTTTTGAACTCTCAGGTCTTATTAAGTCTTTATTCCATCTTGAGTTAATTTTTGAATGTGGTGAGAGATAGGGGGCCAGTTCATTCTTTTTCATATGGCCAGTCAATTTCCCCAGCACCATTTATTGAGTAGGGTATTTCCCCATTATTTTTGTCAACTTTGTTGAAGATCAGTTGTTGTAGGTATGTGGCTTTATTTTGGGGTTCTCTATTCTGTTCCATTGATCTGTGTGTCTATTTTTGTACCAGTACCATGCTGATTTAATTAGTATAACTTTTTATAGTAACTTTTTTTGAGTCAGGTAATGTGATGCCTCTGGCTTTGTTTTTCTTGTTGTTGTTAGAATGGCTTTGGCTATTTGGGCTCTTTTTTGGTTCCATATGAATTTTAGAATTGTTTTTTTCTAATTATGTGACGCTGACATAGGTGATTTGATAGAAATTGTGTTGAATTTGTAGATTTCTCCGGGCAATATGGTTATTTTAATGATATGGATTCTTCCAATCTATGAGCATGAGATGTTTTTCTTTTCTTTTTTTTTTTTTAACATTATAGAGACTTTAATACAGAATTGGATTCCAACAAAACAGTTTTAATAAAATAAGGCACAATGTTTGATATGGCAAAATTCACATAGAGAATTAGTTAATATAAGATCTTTTGTATATCCTGGGGGAGGGGGAAGAAGGTCATAGAATGGAAGTAGCCTAAATATTCTTTTTAGAGCATTTAGCATTGCAAGGCAATATATAAATATGATATCAATGCAATAAGCGATAACTTATTCTAAAAATAAAAACTGTTGAATCATTTTACTGAATTACACTTATTTTTACCATTAAGTTTTAGTTATCTGTTTATATATAGATATAGATATTCCTAATTGGCAAGACTTCAAATACAGAAAATTAAGAAATCAGATCATAGAAAGTAATTTGACCAAAGTAAAAGTCCAGTATGTTTTCAGTATCCTTCGTTAATACTTTGAAGTCCCAAACTTTATGAAAACTTACAATACTGGTTATTTAAAACTTTTCTCCCATTATGTTTTTGTTTCTCATGAATACAAAGTGGGCTCAGAAATGCAAAAAAACCTCAACTGCAGGCACACTCGTCTTTACATGATTGTTGTAAAGTGACTGTTTAGGTTAAAATTCTTTCTCAATATCACAACAACTTAAGTTAGTGAAATTAAAAGTTAACAATTTAAGTTAGTGAAAGGATCTCTTAAACATAAATGGTAGACATAATTAACCAAATTAGTCATGTTTTTGCAATACTGCGACAGCAATGTCAATCTTATCCCCATATCTCCCAATAGCCAGAACTTAGAATAAAATAGTCCTATCCAATTTATTCACAGCCAAAGGAAGAAAGTACGTTCTGGTGAACACAGATGTTCTTTCCATCATTGCTTTGTGGTATGACAGTATATAAATAACCTTCCTTAAACTAGTACACTTTAATATTTACTGGATTGAATGCTGTCCTTTACAAGAACTATTGAGAAAAACTAATGTTAGTTAAAAGTCTGGTAGCACCCAAATCAATATTACCTTGTGAGTGTTCAATAATATGAAGAGCTCATTAGTGAACTGTTTTTTTATATCAATTTTTAGTAAATATAGACCAAGAAGAGATAGAAAAAGCATGGGAGATAGTTACGTACAAAAGCACTCAAACATGTCTCCCTTTCAACCTACATTACAAAGAAAACCAGGGCAAAATATGCTAAGCCTTATAATACCTTAATATGATGCTATAAATATGAAGTTGGTTAGAAACTGCTGTCATTCTTTGGTGGCATCAGATAAAATTTTTAAATAACATATAAGAGAACATACCTTTTCAGTGATTTTATTTCAGGGGACCTTGATCCTTTTGGCTTTGACATCCTGGGACAGAAGGCATGATAGAGAGTCCCTCCCCAGAAGCCCTAGGCTCATACACATTAGGCCATTTCTATTTGTATCATCTACAATTTCTTTCATCAGTGTTTTGTAGTTCTCCTTGTAAAGATCTTTCCCCTTCTTCGTTAAATGTATTGCCAGATATTTTATTATTATCCTAATCAAAAGTACGCAAATTTTAGATTGCTCCACGTTCAGCATCACAACATTAATCAGACCACTGACCTTGGGCCATATGTGATATTTTTTATGGCCATTCCATGCATTCTATATAGTAGTTACCACTGCGTTCAAGATAAAGGATCAGAAAAGCTCAAAAGGGAATGCTTAAAGTGAGGCATTTATCATTTATGAAAAAGTTCTTAACACAGACTTACAGCATCCTGAAAGAAGGATATCAATCATTGCACTGGATCTAAAAGTAAAAGCTCAGAGAATTGTTCCACTATATATTCTATATGAAGGCTTGATATCTGTGGAAATTATCTTGTGACTTTGAAGTTAATTGCTAACATTCTTCAGAATTACTGCAATTATGAATACAGTTGTGAATAATTTGCATATAGCTATCATGTTATACATCTCAAATAACCAAAAACTGAAGCTCTAATTTTTTCTTCATCATTTGTTTGGTTTCTAAAGTTGCAATATAATATTGAATACTGGGTTGTTTTCTTTAATTCAATATTCTTAATATATTTTATTTCATTAGTATCAGCCACTAAAATATTAAATATAAACTGTCACAAATCCTTTGCATTTATAAAATATGTTATTTTGAAGCCTGTGTGTAAATACTATATTTCTTCATTCTATTAATAACTTATGATGTTATGTATTGTTTCCATTTTGCAGATTAAAAAATAACACACTGAAAAGATAAGCTGTACTCATAAGGGAAAATAATCTTAGACCATTGATAATAGTTTTAGTATTTTTTTTTCCATTGGAAAAAAAGTCATAGACCCAAACAGAGACACAAAAGATAGAGTCTTCAAGATACTAACAAGACTTCTAAAGAAATAAAATAATAACATAAATGAGAGTTGAGAACCACATCAAGAACTCAATCTCATTTACAATTGCCACTGAAAAATTGAGAGGAACTCTCAGAATTACACAAATACATGGAAATACAATAACTCACTCTCGAATGACTTTTGGATAAACAAGGCAATTGAAGCAAAATTTTTTTTTAAAAAAGGAAATGAGGCCGGGTGCAGTGGCTCACGCCTGTAATCCCAGCACTTTGGGAGGCCGAGGCAGGTGGATCACGAGGTCAGGAGATCGAGACCATCCTGGCTAACACGGTGAAACGCTGTCTCTACTAAAAATACAAAAAATTAGCCGGGCGCAGTGGCAGGCGCCTGTAGTCCCAGGTACTCGGGAGGCTGAGGCAGGAGAATGGCCTGATCCCGGGAGGCGGAGCTTGCACTGAGCCAAGATCGCGCCACTGCATTCCAGACTGGGCGACAGAGCGAGACTCAGTCTCAAAAAAAAAAAAAAAAAAAGGAAATGAATGAAAATGGATACACAACATACTGAAAACCTCTGGGATACAGAAAAAGCAGTACCAACAGGAAAGTTTATAGTGTTAAATGCCTACATCAATAAGATAGAAAGTTCTCAAGTTAACAACCTATCATCACACCTCAAGGAACTAGAAAAACAAAAACAAACTAAACCTAATGCTAGCAGAAGAATATAAATAACAAAGATCAGAACATAGCATTACTATTATTGATCACTGGGGATTGGAAAATAACAGATGAAGCCTAGCTACTCTATAAAATAGATCGCTGTCTTTTCAAATGATACCAATAAGCCATAATTTGCTAGCAAAATTCTCTCACAAAGATTCTATATATAACTCAGTCTCAAGAAGATCTTTCACACGTGTATCATTTCATCTTTTTTTATTTTTTTATTTTTTTATTTTTATTTTTTATTATACTCTAAGTTTTAGGGTACATGTGCACCATGTGCAGGTTAGTTACATATGTATACATGTGACATGCTGGTGCGCTGCACCCACTAATGTGTCATCTAGCATTAGGTATATCTCCCAATGCTATCCCTCCCCCCTCCCCCGACCCCACCACAGTCCCCAGAGTGTGATATTCCCCTTCCTGTGTCCATGTGATCTCATTGTTCAATTCCCACCTATGAGTGAGAATATGCGGTGTTTGGTTTTTTGTTCTTGCGATAGTTTACTGAGAATGATGGTTTCCAATTTCATCCATGTCCCTACAAAGGATATGAACTCATCATTTTTTATGGCTGCATAGTATTCCATGGTGTATATGTGCCACATTTTCTTAATCCAGTCTATCATTGTTGGACATTTGGGTTGGTTCCAAGTCTTTGCTATTGTGAATAGTGCCGCAATAAACATATGTGTGCATGTGTCTTTATAGCAGCATGATTGATAGTCCTTTGGGTATATACCCAGTAATGGGATGGCTGGGTCAAATGGTATTTCTAGTTCTAGATCCCTGAGGAATCGCCACACTGACTTCCACAATGGTTGAACTAGTTTACAGTCCCACCAACAGTGTAAAAGTGTTCCTATTTCTCCACATCCTCTCCAGCACCTGTTGTTTCCTGACTTTTTAATGATTGCTATTCTAACTGGTGTGAGATGATATCTCATAGTGGTTTTGATTTGCATTTCTCTGATGGCCAGTGATGATGAGCATTTCTTCATGTGTTTTTTGGCTGCATAAATGTCTTCTTTTGAGAAGTGTCTGTTCATGTCCTTCGCCCACTTTTTGATGGGGTTGTTTGTTTTTTTCTTGTAAATTTGTTTGAGTTCATTGTAGATTCTGGATATTAGCCCTTTGTCAGATGAGTAGGTTGCGAAAATTTTCTCCCATGTTGTAGGTTGCCTGTTCACTCTGATGGTAGTTTCTTTTGCTGTGCAGAAGCTCTTTAGTTTAATTAGATCCCATTTGTCAATTTTGGCTTTTGTTGCCATTGCTTTTGGTGTTTTGGACATGAAGTCCTTGCCCACGCCTATGTCCTGAATGGTAATGCCTAGGTTTTCTTCTAGGGTTTTTATGGTTTTAGGTCTAACGTTTAAATCTTTAATCCATCTTGAATTGATTTTTGTATAAGGTGTAAGG
Organism: Homo sapiens; assembly: GCF_000001405.40. Classification (NCBI taxonomy): domain Eukaryota; kingdom Metazoa; phylum Chordata; class Mammalia; order Primates; family Hominidae; genus Homo; species Homo sapiens. The sequence goes on along the minus strand of NC_000005.10, from coordinate 86,515,529 downwards.
AAGGGATCCAGTTTCAGCTTTCTACATATGGCTAGCCAGTTTTCCCAGCACCATTTATTAAATAGGGAATCCTTTCCCCATTGCTTGTTTTTCTCAGGTTTGTCAAAGATCAGATAGTTGTAGATATGCGGCATTATTTCTGAGGGCTCTGTTCTGTTCCATTGATCTATATCTCTGTTTTGGTACCAGTACCATGCTGTTTTGGTTACTGTAGCCTTGTAGTATAGTTTGAAGTCAGGTAGTGTGATAACTCCAGCTTTGTTCTTTTGGCTTAGGATTGACTTGGCGATGCGGGCTCTTTTTTGGTTCCATATGAACTTTAAAGTAGTTTTTTCCAATTCTGTGAAGAAAGTCATTGGTAGCTTGATGGGGATGGCATTGAATCTGTAAATTACCTTGGGCAGTATGGCCATTTTCACGATATTGATTCTTCCTACCCATGAGCATGGAATGTTCTTCCATTTGTTTGTGTCCTCTTTTATTTCATTGAGCAGTGGTTTGTAGTTCTCCTTGAAGAGGTCCTTCACATCCCTTGTAAGTTGGATTCCTAGGTATTTTATTCTCTTTGAAGCAATTGTGAATGGGAGTTCACCCATGATTTGGCTCTCTGTTTGTCTGTTGTTGGTGTATAAGAATGCTTGTGATTTTTGTACATTGATTTTGTATCCTGAGACTTTGCTGAAGTTGCTTATCAGCTTAAGGAGATTTTGGGCTGAGACAGTGGGGTTTTCTAGATAAACAATCATGTCATCTGCAAACAGGGACAATTTGACTTCCTCTTTTCCTAATTGAATACCCTTTATTTCCTTCTCCTGCCTGATTGCCCTGGCCAGAACTTCCAACACTATGTTGAATAGGAGCGGTGAGAGAGGGCATCCCTGTCTTGTGGCAGTTTTCAAAGGGAATGCTTCCAGTTTTTGCCCATTCAGTATGATATTGGCTGTGGGTTTGTCATAGATAGCTCTTATTATTTTGAAATACATCCCATCAATACCTAATTTATTGAGAGTTTTTAGCATGAAGGGTTGTTGAATTTTGTCAAAGGCTTTTTCTGCATCTATTGAGATAATCATGTGGTTTTTGTCTTTGGCTCTGTTTATATGCTGGATTACATTTATTGATTTGCGTATATTGAACCAGCCTTGCATCCCAGGGATGAAGCCCACTTGATCATGGTGGATAAGCTTTTTGAAGTGCTGCTGGATTCGGTTTGCCAGTATTTTATTGAGGATTTTTGCATCAATGTTCATCAAGGATATTGGTCTAAAATTCTCTTTTTTGGTTGTGTCCCTGCCCGGCTTTGGTATCAGAATGATGCTGGCCTCATAAAATGAGTTAGGGAGGATTCCCTCTTTTTCTATTGATTGGAATAGTTTCAGAAGGAATGGTACCAGTTCCTCCTTGTACCTCTGGTAGAATTCGGCTGTGAATCCATCTGGTCCTGGACTCCTTTTGGTTGGTAAACTATTGATTATTGCCACAATTTCAGAGCCTGTTATTGGTCTATTCAGAGATTCAACTTCTTCCTGGTTTAGTCTTGGGAGAGTGTATGTGTCGAGGAATGTATCCATTTCTTCTAGATTTTCTAGTTTATTTGCGTAGAGGTGTTTGTAGTATTCTCTGATGGTAGTTTGTATTTCTGTGGGATCGTTGGTGATATCCCCTTTATCATTTTTTATTGTGTCTATTTGATTCTTCTCTCTTTTTTTCTTTATTAGTCTTGCTAGCAGTCTATCAATTTTGTTGATCCTTTCAAAAAACCAGCTCCTGGATTCATTGATTTTTTGAAGGGTTTTTTGTGTCTCTATTTCCTTCAGTTCTGCTCTGATTTTAGTTATTTCTTGCCTTCTGCTAGCTTTTGAATGTGTTTGCTCTTGCTTTTCTAGTTCTTTTAATTGTGATGTTAGGGTGTCAATTTTGGATCCTTCCTGCTTTCTCTTGTAGGCATTTAGTGCTATAAATTTCCCTCTACACACTGCTTTGAATGCGTCCCAGAGATTCTGGTATGTGGTGTCTTTGTTCTCGTTGGTTTCAAAGAACATCTTTATTTCTGCCTTCATTTCGTTATGTACCCAGTAGTCATTCAGGAGCAGGTTGTTCAGTTTCCATGTAGTTGAGCGGCTTTGAGTGAGATTCTTAATCCTGAGTTCTAGTTTGATTGCACTGTGGTCTGAGAGATAGTTTGTTATAATTTCTGTTCTTTTACATTTGCTGAGGAGAGCTTTACTTCCAACTATATGGTCAATTTTGGAATAGGTGTGGTGTGGTGCTGAAAAAAATGTATATTCTGTTGATTTGGGGTGGAGAGTTCTGTAGATGTCTATTAGGTCTGCTTGGTGCAGAGCTGAGTTCAATTCCTGGGTATCCTTGTTGACTTTCTGTCTCGTTGATCTGTCTAATGTTGACAGTGGGGTGTTAAAGTCTCCCATTATTAATGTGTGGGAGTCTAAGTCTCTTTGTAGGTCACTGAGGACTTGCTTTATGAATCTGGGTGCTCCTGTATTGGGTGCATAAATATTTAGGATAGTTAGCTTCTCTTGTTGAATTGATCCCTTTACCATTATGTAATGGCCTTCTTTGTCTCTTTTGATCTTTGTTGGTTTAAAGTCTGTTTTATCAGAGACTAGGATTGCAACCCCTGCCTTTTTTTGTTTTCCATTGGCTTGGTAGATCTTCCTCCATCCTTTTATTTTGAGCCTATGTGTGTCTCTGCACGTGAGATGGGTTTCCTGAATACAGCACACTGATGGGTCTTGACTCTTTATCCAACTTGCCAGTCTGTGTCTTTTAATTGCAGAATTTAGTCCATTTATATTTAAAGTTAATATTGTTATGTGTGAATTTGATCCTGTCATTATGATGTTAGCTGGTGATTTTGCTCATTAGTTGATGCAGTTTCTTCCTAGTCTCGATGGTCTTTACATTTTGGCATGATTTTGCAGCGGCTGGTACCGGTTGTTCCTTTCCATGTTTAGTGCTTCCTTCAGGAGCTCTTTTAGGGCAGGCCTGGTGGTGACAAAATCTCTCAGCATTTGCTTGTCTGTAAAGTATTTTATTTCTCCTTCACTTATGAAGCTTAGTTTGGCTGGATATGAAATTCTGGGTTGAAAATTCTTTTCTTTAAGAATGTTGAATATTGGCCCCCACTCTCTTCTGGCTTGTAGGGTTTCTGCCGAGAGATCCGCTGTTAGTCTGATGGGCTTTCCTTTGAGGGTAACCCGACCCTTCTCTCTGGCTGCCCTTAACATTTTTTCCTTCATTTCAACTTTGGTGAATCTGACAATTATGTGTCTTGGAGTTGCTCTTCTCGAGGAGTATCTTTGTGGTGTTCTCTGTATTTCCTGAATCTGAATGTTGGCCTGCCTTGCTAGATTGGGGAAGTTCTCCTGGATAATATCCTGCAGAGTGTTTTCCAACTTGGTTCCATTCTCCACATCACTTTCAGGTACACCAATCAGACGTAGATTTGGTCTTTTCACATAGTCCCATATTTCTTGGAGGCTTTGCTCATTTCTTTTTATTCTTTTTTCTCTAAACTTCCCTTCTCGCTTCATTTCATTCATTTCATCTTCCATTGCTGATACCCTTTCTTCCAGTTGATCGCATCGGCTCCTGAGGCTTCTGCATTCTTCACGTAGTTCTCGAGCCTTGGTTTTCAGCTCCATCAGCTCCTTTAAGCACTTCTCTGTATTGTTATTCTAGTTATACATTCTTCTAAATTTTTTTCAAAGTTTTCAACTTCTTTGCCTTTGGTTTGAATGTCCTCCCGTAGCTCAGAGTAATTTGATCGTCTGAAGCCTTCTTCTCTCAGCTCGTCAAAATCATTCTCCATCCAGCTTTGTTCTGTTGCTGGTGAGGAACTGCGTTCCTTTGGAGGAGGAGAGGCGCTCTGCGTTTTAGAGTTTCCAGTTTTTCTGTTCTGTTTTTTCCCCATCTTTGTGGTTTTATCTACTTTTGGTCTTTGATGATGGTGATGTACAGATGGGTTTTCGGTGTAGATGTCCTTTCTGGTTGTTAGTTTTCCTTCTAACAGACAGGACCCTCAGCTGCAGGTCTGTTGGAATACCCTGCCGTGTGAGGTGTCAGTGTGCCCCTGCTGGGGGGTGCCTCCCAGTTAGGCTGCTCGGGGTCAGGGGTCAGGGACCCACTTGAGGAGGCAGTCTGCCCGTTCTCAGATCTCCAGCTGCGTGCTGGGAGAACCACTGCTCTCTTCAAAGCTGTCAGACAGGGACACTTAAGTCTGCAGAGGTTACTGCTGTCTTTTTGTTTGTCTGTGCCCTGCCCCCAGAGGTGGAGCCTACAGAGGCAGGCAGGCCTCCTTGAGCTGTGGTGGGCTCCACCCAGTTCGAGCTTCCCGGCTGCTTTGTTTACCTAAGCAAGCCTGGGCAATGGCGGGCGCCCCTCCCCCAGCCTCGTTGCCGCCTTGCAGTTTGATTTCAGACTGCTGTGCTAGCAATCAGCGAGATTCCGTGGGCGTAGGACCCTCTGAGCCAGGTGTGGGATATAGTCTCGTGGTGCGCCGTTTCTTAAGCCGGTCTGAAAAGCGCAATATTCGGGTGGGAGTGACCCGATTTTCCAGGTGCGTCCGTCACCCCTTTCTTTGACTCGGAAAGGGAACTCCCTGACCCCTTGCGCTTCCCAGGTGAGGCAATGCCTCGCCCTGCTTCGGCTCGCGCACGGTGCGCACACACACTGGCCTGCGCCCACTGTCTGGCACTCCCTAGTGAGATGAACCCGGTACCTCAGATGGAAATGCAGAAATCACCCGTCTTCTGCGTCGCTCACGCTAGGAGCTGTAGACTGGAGCTGTTCCTATTCGGCCATCTTGGCTCCTCCTCCCTAATTTTGTATCTTAAGTAGAAACGGAGTTTCTCCATGTTGGTCAGGCTGGTCTCGAATTCCCGACCTCCATCATTTCATCTTTATTCAGCATTTTTCTGGCTAATTCTTAACTGTGCGCTTTTCCCAGATGTTGTGATATGAGCTGAAATGTTAAACGTATTTCATAAGAAGATCGACGGTGCTGAATACACCTGCATAAATCATGCTGTCCTGTGTTACATAGGATGGCAAGACACACTGACTTCATTTTTTAAATAGATGAAACAATCCTTGAGATAATTTACCTTGAACAACTCAGTTTACAAAATGGTACCAGTTTGCTCCCTGACATTGCTGTTAACTGGCAGAGATGGAGATAGAATACAAGTCTTTTGGCTTGAGGAATTAAAATGCCCTGGATTTTGCTTAGAGTTTTGCCCCGCCAAAATCATCATTTGATTCATTAACCCATCTACTCACAGGGCTTATTTGGAGAAGAAGAGGTCGTTGTTCCCTTTACAAAGGCCTATTCATTATCTAGACCTGAAATTCCATTCTCTTTCAACAATTCAGTAAAATCTTACTTTCTAAATTTACTTTTTTGTCATCCAAACCATATTAACTCAAATCCAATCTTTTTCTTGAGCCTGCTGTCTTCAGTATTTTAAAATCATATTTTATTGGTTCCTCAGTTTTCCAGGTTTCTATACATTCTCCTTTGCATTGTGGTATGTCTCCTGATTAGTGTCTGCACCTGGTCTTGTCTTTTTCTTTTCACTCATAAACCTTAATTAGACTGATTTTAAACACAAATTTCATTGAAATCATCTCCTGTTCTTAATAGAAAAAGGTCAATTTTTCTCTACTTAGGTTTTCTAGGCCTCCATCATCTGACTTTATTCTTTTCTCTCTTTACTTCTTAATTTAGTATTTCCTACTTTATGCTCATCTCCTCACTCTTTCCAGAAGTTGCTATGCTCATTTTTAAGTTCATACTGTCTACTCTACTTTGGCAGTTTTTCTAGGTTCCTCCAATTCAATTCTTTGTTCATATCACTGTTTAAAATTCCATGGAACCTCCATCGAAGGATAAAACTACTCATTCTCTGAAATCTAGGAAAATGTGTATGTTTCTTTTTATAAGAGTAAAGCACAGTGTTAGAGCGTGGGCTTTAGAATCACATAGATGTGGACTCAGGTCTTGCCTTCAATGCTTATCATCCACGTAAACTTGGACTCCGAAGCAAAGTCTCCTTATTTTTCAATTGATGATGACAGCACTTACCTTATGTCTTTGCGTTCAATATTAAGTGAGGTTAGCATCAAGGATCTACCACAAAATGTGCCAGAGGTAGCCTGCACAAATGATAGCTACTGCTTCTCTCCCATTTATGTTATTATTCAGTTCAATTAGTGTGAAGTATATATTTTATTTCTTTAGCTATCTTGTTAGTATCTCAAAGGACGCTACCTTTTGTGTCTCTGTTTGGGTCTATGATTTTTTTCCAATGGAAAAAAAATAATAAAACTACTATCAAAGGGTCTAGGATTATTTTCTTGTATGAGTTTGTGTAAACAGCTTATCTTTTCAGTGTGTGTTTTTTTATCTGTAAAGTGGAAACAATAAATACCTCATAAGTTATTAAGAGAATTAAGAAATATATTTACACTCAGGCTTCAAAATAATATGTTTCATAAATGCAAAGGATTTGTGAGAGTTAATATTTAATATTTTAATGGTTAATAGTAATGAAAATAAATATATTAAGAATATTGAATTAAAGGAAATAACCCAATATTCAATATTATATCACAACTTTAGAAACCAAACAAATGACAAAGAAAAAATTAGAGCCTCAGTTTTTGGCTATCTGAGATGTATAACATGATAGATTTATGCAAATTATTTATAATTGTATTCATAATTGCAGTAATACCGAATAATGTTAGTAGTTAATTTTGAAGTCACAAGATAACTTCCACAGATATCAAGCCTTCATATAGAATATATAGTGGAACAATTCTCTGAACTTTCACTTTTAAATCCAGTGCAATGATTGATACCCTTCTTTTAGGATGCTTCTCACCTGCTCTAAGTCTGTGTTAAGAACTTTTTCAGAAATGATAAATGCCTCACTTTAAGCATTCCCTTTTGAGCTTTTCTAATCCTTTATCTTGAATGCAGTGGTGACTACTATATGGAATGCATGGAATGGCCACAAAAAATATCACATATGGATCAAGGTCAGTTGTCTGATTAATGCTGTGATGTGGAAGGTGGAGCAATCTAAAATCTGAGTACGTTTGATTAGGATAATAACCTTTAAGGCAATCAAAGAGGAAATGGTATGAAGATTCTGCCTTTCTACAAATATTTTTTGAGCTCCTACTGATGTTCATTACTATTTTTGGTGCTGGGGATTCAATGGTGAAAACCACAGAGTTCTTACCTTTATGGCACTATTATTCTAGTTAGTGAAATGCAAAACAAACAACTGAATCAAGAAATGTACAATACCATGTCAGGTATTCTGAGAAAAAAGAGGAGAGGAAAGAAGCTGCAGAATGCAGAGGGCAATAAATTGGGGTGCACTTCTAGAAGGTGCTCTCAGGGAAGGACTCTTGGAGAAGGTGCCATTTGAAACCATTTGCAGCAAAGTGAGGGACCCAGACATACAAGACTGGAAAGAACATTGAAGGCAAAGGAGTCAGAAATTTCCAAGTCAACAAGTGAGATTTCAGGAATTTTTGAAGAATGTGCAGTACTCGGTATAGTCTTTCTCCTTGAAATGCATAGCGCGTCTGTTTCCTTCACTGAACCCGACTACTTAACTGAGAGTGTAATTATTAAAGAACTGATTTGAGATATATTTTGAGAGTCAGGCCAAAGTCAGATGAGTTGTATCTGGAGTGTGAGGAAAAGAAGGGCTAAGGATGACTCATGGGTTTTTGGTTCTAGCAACTGGATGAATAATAGAACCATTTACCAGATGTTGAGACTAAGGAGCTTCCTGGTAAGTTTAAGATGCTTAATTTTAAATGGAGATGTGGAGTATGCAGTGAAATATATGGGTCTAGAGAGCAATGAAGACTTTTGGAAACTTTTAAATTTCTAATATTTTAAAGATAAATGAACTAGGTAAATAAATAATGAATTATGAAATAAATTATCTAGACAAATAACTTTTTGAAATGAAGAAAGTTTCATTGCAGTGGTCTCATTTTCAATAGGATTTTCTGGATGGTGTCTATTGTTAATTTAGCAACAAGAAGAGCTAGAGGTGTGAGCTATTAAATACAATTGCTTTAAAGTATTGTGCCTGAAGAAGCATGGCTGGAAATACACTCAAAGCTTCTAGCAAACATTTTTTAGAAATAATTTACCTTACTTCTGTGGATCCAAATGCTGCATTTATGTTGTACTTGCCTTTATAACCAAATCGCAGAATATCCTTTAGCTTTTAAACCGCCTCACATCCTCTAATTTCTTAATTATTTTTTGTAATTTAATAACCAGTACTCAAAAAGAAATAGAAAACAGCCCATGTATCAGTCAAGGTTCAATAGAAGACAGTAAAAACCACTTTATTTGGTTTGAGCCAAAAGAGATTTAATATGGAAAATTGTATGTCTACACAATTGTGTAAAGGGATGGAAGAGATACAGGCTCTAGGTTGAGCTTAAAGAAATTATTTCCTGAAGAGATAGTACTTTCTATGATCCAGGGATCATTCTACATGTTTTTATACATATAAATTCTCACTACGCATTTTTTTCCTAATCACTTACCTACCATTGCACTAGTAGTAAGTGGCAGAGCTGGCATTTGAACACAGGCAATGCAACTCCTAAATTCATATTCCTAACCATTGTGCTTTTCTGTTGCTGTAGGTACTGACCTAGCAATAATAAGTGGTTATTTCTGCCAAGACCAAGGATTTGGAAAATTAGTAAGTAGCTGCCCAAACTGCTGGGTCTATGATCACACTATTTCAACTCCTTCCATGCTGGCAAAATGAATGTTCTATGCCTCAAAAAAATGGGGTCCAGATATTGGGACTTCCGATACTGCAGCCAATAAAAACAGAAACAGCAGAGGTGGAACCTGACTGGACCTCATTTCAATTATTGTAGACGTTAGTTCACCTGGTGAAAGCTTCATCAGTTGTGGAACTGTTGAAATAAAATAAAATGGAGATCAGGCCTGAGAGTTCCCCAAGCAGACAAAACCAGGTAGGCCACATAATAAAAACTTAGCGTATTTTTTTTTTGTTGTTTTGTTTTGTTTTGAGAGGGAGTCTGGCTCTGTCGCCGGGCTGGAGTGCAGTGGCGCGATCTCGGCTCACTGCAAGCTCCGCCTTCCGGGTTCCCGCAACTCTCCTGCCTCAGCCTCCGGAGTAGCTGGGAATACAGGCGCCCGCCACCACGCCCAGCTAATTTTTCTATTTTTAGTAGAGACGGGGTTTCACCGTGTTAGCCAGGATTGTCTCAATCTCTTGACTTTGTGATCCGCCCGCCTTGGCCTCCCAAAGTGCTGGGATTACGGGCGTGAGCCACTGTGCCCGGCCAAACTTAGCGTATTTTTAAAAATGTAAGTGAAACTTAGGTTATTTCTTGTAAATGCTTCTGAAATCATAAATGAAGCTTACATTGCCTTCTAGAAATTGTATAAGATAATCACGTTTAACCAATCCTCTATCATCTGGAAACCTCTCTTGTAATATCCAATCATTATAAAGGTTTCAAACTTCCTTATTTTGATTGATGAGTCATCCTATAACTGCTGAGTTAAATTTCTCACCTTTTTTCGGATTGAGTCTCCTAGGTTGCAATCTGTACTTTCTTTTCTATGTGACAATAAACTAAAAATTTGTGTAACTCGAACTGATTTTATTTTGACAGAGCCCAGACTGAAGTGTAATGTGACCTTCAGCTTTCCAACCTCTTGATTTGTAACTACAGGGGTCATGAATATGGTACATGCCAGGGCTAATATTGTGTGGATAAGGTGGGCCTGAAGCTGAGGACAACAGATAGCAATGTTCACAAGCAAAGGGCCAACTTTATGTTTACAAATGAACTACAATTACAAATGGTTCTACATTTTCTGTGATGCCAGAATAATTAATGTCACCTGGGCAGATGACATAATATGCAAAAATTTGTCATCTTCTGAGTATTTCAATAACCAGTTTAGATTCACAGCAAAATTGAAAGAAAGATACAGAGATTTCCCATATAGCCCCTGCTCCTGCACAGATATAGAATTTTGAGAATTTTTCTGGCTATATTATATGTGTATATAAAATAAGCCATTGTCCTCACAGGTTACCCTTTCCCTCTCCTGGAATAATTCTGGCTTCTAATTTATAGCAAACACAAAGGTATGTATATGGAAAATGGTCAAACAAGTCAAGATCTACTGCATATTCTATATTACAATTTTTTTAAATATAGAGAATCATTATAGAAAATCAGGTAAAGTTAAGACTAACTGCTTTAGATTGTATTTATATAGTCTCTCGAGTTTTAATCTAAAGGGATATGAACTCTTGGCTTGAAAGTTTAGATCTGGCAATGGTGTACTGTGCAATTTTAAGCATGTTACTTCTTTCTTTTCTCTCTGAGTCTCAGTTTCTTCAATCATGGGAGGAGGATAACAATAGTCACGCCCCCAGAAATACAGAAAATCGTAATAAGTGCTGAAAAAATATTTTTAGGAAATAGGGAATAGTAAGAGTGAGCCAGCTTGCCTTCAAATCCCTGACCCAACACTTTTGAGTTCTATGACCTTGAGTAAGTCATTAAAATGCTCTAACCCTGTATTTTCTCATTTTTCAAATAGGGAGTTTAAAAGTAGAAATTTAATTTGCTGAAAATAATGGTTTCCACCTCCATCCATGTCCCTGCAAAAGACATATTCTCATTCCTTCTTATGGCTGCATAGTATTCCATAGTGTATATGTATCACATTTTCTTAATCCAGTCTATCATTGATGGGCAGTTGAGTTGATTCCCTGTCTTTGCTATCATGAATAGTGCATGCAGCAAACCACCATGGCACACGTTTGCCTATGTAACAAACCTGCACATCCTGCACATGTATCCTGGAACTTAAAATAACGCTTAAAAAAAGTAGAAATTTAACTGGGTTCTTGTAAGATTAAGTGAAACCATCAAGAAATATTTTGGATCTTGAGACTTCCTATAAATTACTCAATAAATGTCAATTATTAATAGATTCCATTAAAGTTACACACAGACTTTTGTCATTTCACTGCAGTTCCAATGCTTATAATTGTGCATGACCTCAATAAAATACTTTGTGAAATCCGTCAACTTTACAATCTGCCTTTAGCTCATTATTAAGCAATGGGCTCCTGATCTATAGCTCTGTTCTTTTTTTTCTTTTCTTTTTTTTTTTAATCTGGTAAACTTGAATTGGACTTAATTTCATTTACTTGTTTGGCTCTCTTTTTTTTTTTTTTTGAGATGGAGTTCCATTCTCATTGCCCAGGCTGGAGTCCAATGGCGCAATCTCGGCTGACTGCAACCTCCGCCTCCTGGATTCAAGTGATTCTCCTGCCTCAGCCTCTCAAGTAGCTGGGATTACAGGTGCCCAGCCACCGTGTCTGGCTAATTTTTTGTATTTTTAGTAGAGGGGGATTTTCACCATGCTGGCCAGGCTGGTCTCGAATTCCTGACCTCAGGTGATTCAACCGCCTCGGCCTCCCAAAGTGCGGGATTACAGGTGTGAGCCACTGCACCTGGCTCTCTTAAAAAGGTACATTTTGCAATATCTATTAGTAAAACAAAAGAGAGACATTGCATTTGTAGAATCCTTACTTAGTTGAGAGATAGAAGAAAAATACAGGAATAAAGAAATGTTGCTTTACAAAAGCCATTTCCATGGTGTTTAGTTTCTAATGGCAGAAGTCATGAAAGGGAGACTTTTAAACAAATATTGTACTGCTAATTAGGCCAGAATAGTCTCAGAAGCTTGACTTCAGCCTACCCTGATGCAGTATTTGTGATGCTGAACAGAATTTTAATATTTGTCCATCTCTCATGGTAAAAATGTACCCTCACATAGCATTAGATAATCCTCCAGTATTAAATATATCTAACTGAAAACTAGGAATAGGCTGGGCATGGTGCCCAGCACTTTAGGAGGTTGAGGCGGGGGGATTTCTTGAGGCCAGGAGTTCAAGACCAGGCTGGGCCGCATATTGAGACCCCATCTCTACAAAAAATTAAAAAGTAAGCTGGGCATGATGGCTTGTACCTGTAGTCCTAGCTATTTGGGAAGCTGAGGTGGGAGAATCTCTTGAACCAAAAGTTAGAGGCTGCAGTTAGCTGAGATTGCTCCACTGTCTCCAGCCTGGGTGACAGAGCAAGACTCTGTCTCTAAAACAAACAAAAAACCAAAACTAGAAATAAATCATTACTTCCAGTTCTGCAAAGAAGCTAAATTTGTACAAGTATTGATATGTTTGTTAGGCCTCAAATATTCCTTAAATATTGATCATTACTCACTCTGAAATGGTTAACCTAACACACACACACACTATGACATTTGATAAGTGAACTGAATATTCACAGAACCAGTGTTTTACTTAGTGCTGCATAAAAGGTATTCATATTACATGGACGCCAGCTTCTATTTATATTAATTTAAAAATAAAAGTAAATAAAGCATGGCAGATATGTTAGAAATTGAAATAGATAATGGTGTGCATCAAAGTATAGAGAATATATATTATCAGTAATATTAATCTCATTTAGTTATTTGTAGCAGTGGATTCTGTGTCACCAGTTGGAAGGCTCTTTATCAGTCTGTTAATATTCCGTTCATGATTTCATTTTCACGCACATACTTGTAAGCTATGAAAACCTAGACTAAGAAATCAGAATAACTTCAAATTACTGGGGCAGTTAATTCAATTCTAGAAGTCCTTAAGCTTTCCATTAATGCCGCAGCCAGAAACTGGAATGTTTAATGTATCACTTTTTATAGAAAATAAATTTTTCTCTCTGTGGAACTGTATTACAGATAGTACTGCTGAGTTGTTTTAAAGTACAAAAAGAGATCCTGAATGGTGAGCAAAATTCTCTCTCTCTCTTTTCTACTTCAGGGAGAAAAGATCATAAAGGCTCAAAATGAGTGAATTAACAGCTCAATTTCCTGGAAAAAAATCAGTAGTTTTATTTCCATTCTCTTGTTCTACATCAGAAGTGGACAAATGCCATTTACTCTGGGAAATGAATAAGAAGGGGCTTCTTTGTTGGGAAATCCTAGTTATTTGTGGGATTTTTGAGCCTTTCTTACGTTAACATATGAGAGGGATTGATAGTTCATGTTAAAGCAACCTCCTGACTGCACAGGGATAATATAGGAGCTGTTTACCATCTATGGATGTTCAAATGTAAGGTCCTATCTGGAGAGTACAGGCTAGTAGCACATCGTGGGCCTTTCCATTTCAAAGGTGGTAAATCATTGTGAACTCTTCTCTTTTGAAATTTCACCCATGATTTTATGAACTTAATCCTATTTTATATATTGTAATTAAATAGTCATTAAACCATCTTCTTTTGCTGAGGACAGTGATGTAATTTCAGGGCAAGTGTTTACCAATGTAAGGCTATGAATTGATTGGTTATAAGTGAATATAACCTTTCTTCTTCCTTAACACTCCTCTATAACCACAAAACAAAGACTGGACTAGAATAAGTTTGTTATATGATATACGAGTTCTCTGAAGACTATCTGGAATGCTGTCTTTTCTTCTCCCTTTGGGATGTGCTCACCACAGAACAACCAAAATTATCTTGTAACAACATGACAACTTTACAATTATTTTTCACTCAAAACCCTTGAAAAAGTCCTTATTGCATTTAGAAAAAATTTTTATTTTTTTTACCAGGTCCTAAATGTAGGTAAAATATTTAAAATCTGTCTCTGCTTAGCAATTAACCCTTATGTTATCTTTGTCCCATTTGCTCAGCATTCTCTTGCAACACTGTCTTCCTTCTGTTCTTGGAATATGCTACTCTCTTTGCTCACCACAGGATATTTGTACATGCCATTCCCTCTACTTTTCCCTACTCTTCACATATTTATGTCTTTTCTTATCCCTCAGATTTTAATTGATGCATCACCTCCTTTGATGAGATCTACCTGAAATTCTGTGTTAGATTTGGTTTATTTCATGACATTTTTCACAACTTACGACAATTTTATTCAATTGTTTGATGGCTTCTTTATGGTATGGTTCCACCCTTCCATAGAGTCGAAACACCAATGATTCAAGAATATTTCCCATCTTGTTCACCAAGAACAAAGTCTAGTACATAGAAGTCAGTAAACAAAACTGGATTTGTCCTCATTATTCCTTACTTTTCATGCTACCTTTCATTATTAGAAGTAATTCCTTTTGTAGGGATTGAGGTTGGAGACTTTGGTAATGCTATCAGTTTGTTGGCTACAGTAAATGAAATGACAAAATATCTGAGTGGTTTGAGGCTTGGGTTTGTAACAAATGCTGAAGGGCTCAACTAGTAGAGCACATTTAACTGCAGAGGGCAGTGCTGTCTAATGTCCTGTATGGCAATCCCATGATTCCTAAACTAATGCTGTTTATTTCACATTCGATGTCCTTTGATGGATGCTCTAAAATTCTTTCATTACTGTTTTAGCAATGTGTTATGCAATTACACTTTAGAAATGGCAGTTCTTATAAGAAATATCAGAGTTTTAGCCACGGATGCATCAGAGTGTTTCTTACATTAACTGGATGGCCTTTTGGAAATGAATTTTTTGAAAAATTGTGGATACTTTCACTGGGTTCTAACTTCTGATTTCACTTCCTTTAATCTCTCCTTTAAAAAATGCTTTTGGGATTTAATCAGACTTAGCAGTAAATAATGCAACTGCCAACCAGCCTCACTAATTTTTAGAAGGCTAAAGTAGATTTTGAATCTAAAAGTGCTTTCTCTCATGCTCTTGCCTACAAATTTTCTGGCCTCTTGTCTTCCTTAATCCATTCATATTGTATAACACTCTGCCAGATTAATCTTCAGAGCATATCTCTGGTGCTGCCACTCTTTTCTGAACAATCTGTGAAGATGCCTGGTTGCTTAATTAGAATTACTTAGTCTTTAAGACCCTCCTAATTTTGTTTGATATCACCTGTCACACCTTATTCTAAATGCTTCCCTATTAACTTGAAAGAACTCCAAACTTACCCATCACTGTCCACCTCCCAGGTCTTTGCTTGTACTGTTACCAGCCAGTCAAGCCTGCATTAGGGAGAGACCCTCTAAAAATCTGGCAGAGAACTAACAGGTCTGGATTTCTGCCACATCCTTGGCCTCACATTTACTCTTTGCATATTGGCAAAATCTGCTTTTACTTTCATGACCCCTACTATTGAACAAATTTTATGAGATGAGGAGAGAAAGGTTTGCTTCTCAGAGAAGTGACCAGAGAAAAGAGATGCTCAATGTCAGGGAGGAAAGGAGCAACTGTAAGAAAAATGGGTTGTCTTTTGCTACTTTTTTCAATATTTGATGCTAATTGTTTTAGTAATTAATTTTTTTGTCTTCTCCTACCCTTAAAAAATATGTAATGTGTTGTTAGCCTCTGTATGTCACATCTATTCATGTGGAATATTCAGAAAATATTGCTACCTTATCAAGATGAATTTGTATTACAGCTCCAGTGAAACTGGAAAATCCAAATTTTTATTTCCAATAACAGAACATGGTGTGTTAATGACAAATTAAAAATGAGTTTTTCTTTCTTTCCTTTTCTCTCTTCTCTCTTCCTTTAGACAGGATATGTTTTCTCCTTATTAGTGAATCACACCATTAAGCAGTTATATATATGAAAGAAAACACAAGGTAGTGTAAGATAACTCAAATACATTATTTTTGTATTCTATCATCTATCTCTCTATCTATCATCTATCTATCTATCTATCTATCATCATCATCATTATTTAAACACACATTAGAATAACAATGCATGGTTAAAACATTTATTAGAATATACACAGAGAAATATTCCTTTCCTTAGTTTGTGGATTTTTGAGGTACAGTTAGACTCAACTCTTCATTTCAAGAAAATGAAATTATTCAGCCATGTTTGATTCTAGAACATTAATTTTTTCATTTTCACTTTTAAAATTTTAATCCATTTGGAAGTTACCTTAGTTTAAGATGTGTGGTACAGACCTGCCTTTTCTTTGTCCAGATGGCTAGTAAATTGTCCCTCTGCAGAGTTTTCTAGTCTAGAGATTCTCATGACATCCATGAGTATTAAATGAACCCTTAAAATTTCAGCAAATTTTTGCATTACTGTGCATTTATCTTAGAGGGACAGGAGACTCACAAAAATAATTCTGGGGACTGAGAATACCCAGTTTCCTCTTCATTACTATATCTAAAAATAGTTGTTGCTTTCTTCTATATTTTTCCAAAGGATTTTATGCATATACAAGTAAATATCAACAGATTTTTAATTTTTTCTATCGTTTCACACATAGTATTGTGTTTGTATTTTTCATTTGACAGTATATTATATATTGGATGTCTTTTTATAACAGTATAAAAAGCTTTTTTGTTCTTATTTATAGCTGAGAAGTATTCCATAATATGGTTGTAACTCAATTTATTCAGCAAATTCCTACTTATGGACATTTAGGTGTTTTCCAGTCTTTTACTGGAAACAGTAACAAACTATGCTTCAATAAACAAAAATTTGCAAAAAATACTTAATATATTTTCAACTATATCTGCAGGCTAAATTTCACTCTTAAATACTGGATAGTTTTATAAGTTTTCTGACACTACTGTAACAAATTATCACAAATGTAGCTTCTTAAAATAAAGCTGATTATATCAGAAAAGTTCCTTTTGCAAATTAACATATTTACAGAATCTGGAGACTATGGCAGGCACTTCACTTAAGAGCCATTCTGCCTACCATGCTAGAATGGCCCTTAATATGTGTAGAGTTGAATATATTTCTAAATTTATCTTTTGATGTTTATCTTTTTTATAGTCAAATTTGTTACTCCTTTTTAGTTTGTGGATTTTTGAGGTACAGTTAGACTCAACTCTTCATTTCAAGAAAACGAAATGACTCAGCCATGTTTGATTCTAGAACATTAATTTTTCCATTTTCACCTTTAAAATTTTAATCCATTTGGAAGTTACCTTAGTTTAAGATGTGTGGTACAGACCTTTTCTTTGTCCAGATAGCTAGTAAATTGTCCTTCTGCAGTTTTCTAATCTAGAGACTCTCATAACATCCATGAGTGTTAAATGAACCCTTAAAATTTCAGCAAATTTTTGCATTACTGTGCATTTGTCTTAGAGGGACAGGAGACTCACAAAATAATTTTCATATTATAGAAATAATATTAGGTGATTTACAAAACTGGGGTGCCTGACTTGCATGATGTAGGCTGAGTCTCTGAGTTTGAGAATTTTCACCTCTAAGATGAGAGTGGTATGATTTCTAAAATTATTTCCCATTATAGAAATATGAGCTCCACCACTAATTTTTTATAAATTGTATAGATCTTTAAAATAAATCTTTCCTTAAACCAAATAAATATAATGGAGAAATGGCATAGAAGATTGTGTATACTGGCAAAAATAGAGGATTCTCTAGTTACAAGCCAAGTTTTTAATTATATTACATTTCAATAATTAAAACATTCACTTTCGGTCAAAATTTCTTCAAATAGCAAAATGCATTTTGACAGCTGTCGCTGAATTGACAAAAAATCCCCACAAATTTAACCAAAAACCTGCCGTGAATTTGCTATTATTATTAGTGATTGTGAAGCATTTTTAACACGTTGACCACGTGGTATTATAAAGTTATTACAGGCAGAGCTTTCAATTCTTTAAAGTTAAACTGTATCTTACTACTTCCAAAGTAAAAGAAGTATACTGACAATAGCTAGCAGTTTGATAAGAGCAGGTCACTATAACAGTTGAACCATCTCTGTCAAAAGGGATTCAACACAAGCCATTTTGGATAAAAGTGAGATATGTTCTAAATCCCAAGGATTCTAGCTGTTTAATTTGAAGTCTTTGGGGAGTAATTTAATGAATAGTTTTACTTTTCTTGGACTTAATGTAGTACTGAATTTAAAGACAATGTAGGAAAGAATAAAAGTTAATACAATTTGAGCCTTTTCAGTATAGTAGTTTACTTAGTGCGTTGTTAATACTGACATATTCTAAAGTTGTCAAGTCATGTTGCTCATAAATCACACGCTTATTTAAGCCATTAATAAAAATGCTTGTTATGTGCTAAGAGAAACAGTAACATGATTAAAAATCTATACATATTTTTTGTACCAACTAATATTTCTTTTATTTTCTGTAATTTTACATTAACATAGGGAGTGATTGTCATTAATTAATTAGTTGTGGGTGCTCTTATGTTTCTGGAAGACTGTAATGAAAAATGACAACCACAACTGAAAAAGATATATTTAAATCAGTTATTTGAATGTAACTACTGAAGAGAAAGTAAAATAGGAAGATTGAGACTATCGAATGTATTCTGAAGTGTTTTGATTCTGGATAAAACAGAGTAAGTGCACGATCATGTCTCTCTCACAGAGTACCACTATAAAACCCAGACAGAATTTATGGTGTGGGTATTTCAGTTCTCCGAAACAAAAAATTGAGGGCTAAAAATATAAAGGCTGGGCACAGTGGCTTACACTTGTAATCCTAGCACTTTGAGATGCACAAGCAGATGGATTGCTTGAGCCCAGGAGTTGGAGACAAGCCTGGGCAACGCAGCGAGACCCCATCTCAAAAAAAAGAAAAAATAAATAAAATAAAAATATCACATTCATTATGTCCAGAATAGCATCTAAAATTACTCACCTTAAAAGGAATCAGGTAAATATCAGCTCACATAGGAAAAGAAAATAAGCAGATGCCTTTGCCTAGAAGACATAGATATTGGAATTATCCGACAAAGATTTTAAGCAGCTATTAAATAAATACTTCAATAAGTAATTGTGAAAATATTGAATAAAAAGATAGGAAAATCAGTAAATAAATAGAAGATATAAACAAAACAAACTTTAAAAATAAGAAATAAAATGACAACAAAAATTATATTCACTAACAAAATAGCCATGATAGAGGAGTCAGTGAATTTGAAGATGGCTCAACTACTATCTTAGTCAGCTTGTGCTCCTACAACAAAATACCATAGACTCAGTGGCTTAAACAACAGAAATGTGCTTATCATAGTTCTGGAGGCTGAGAAGCCCACAATTAAGGCACCAGCAGATTTAGTTCTTGATGAGTCCTGTCTTCCTGGCTTGCAGACAGCATCTTCTTACTGTGTCTTCACATGCTGGAGATAGAGAAAGAGAGCCAGCTGTCTGGTCTCTTCTTATAAGAACACTAATCCCATGATGGGGACTCAACACTCGTGACCTCCTCTGAACCTAATCACCACCAGAAGGGCCCACCTCTTAATTTCATTACATCACATTAAGAGTTAGGTCTTCAACATATGAATTTAAGGAGGGCGAAAACACAAACACTCATCTATAGCAATAGCATTATTTAATCTGAATGTTAGTAAGAAAAACTACAGGAGACGCTAACAAAGCTCAGGGATACATGGGACAAAGAATGTCTAACATTCATATTATTAAAGGGAGACATGAGAGAAAAAAGCATGTAGTGCTGGGGCAATATCTGAAGAAATAGTGACTGAAAACATTCCAAGTTTGATGAAGGACATAAATCTATAGATTTAAGAAGCTTAGCATACCCCCAACAGAATGATGCTAAAGAAATTCATGTTCAGGTACATAACAATAAAAAGACTTATAACAAATGGGGCACGTGTGTGCGTGCGTGCACGTGCACACACACACACACACAAACACACGAATCTTGAAAGCGGCAAGAGAAAGCCAATGCATTACTTGTAGGAGACAAAATTCAGCTGGCATGACTGAGAATTCCATGGAGGCCAGAAGAAAATGTTACACTCCTAAAATGCTGAAGAAAACAACTGTCAATTCACAATTCTGTATCCAGTGGAAATATTAATCATAAATAAAGATGACATAGACATTATTTAGAGGAAGAAAAACCAAGAAAATTAATTATCAGCTGACCTACTCTAAAAGTTTCTTTAAAGGCAGTTCTTAGGACATAAGGCAAATATTGGCTGGGCACAGTGGCTCATGCCTGTAATCCCAGCACTTTGGGAGGTTAAGGCGGGTGGATTTCCTGAGTCCAGGAGTTTAAGACTAACTTGGGCAACATGGTGAAACCCTGTTTCTAGAAAAAATACAAAAATTAGTCAGGCATGGTGGAGCGCACCTGTAGTCCCAGATACTTGGGAGGCTGAGGTGGGAGGATGTCTTGAGCTGAGGAGTTTGAGGCTGTAGTAAGCCATGTTCACACTGCTGCACTGCAAACTGGGCAACAGAGTGAGACCTTATCTTCAAAAAAAGGTGGGGTGGAGCAGGGGGAATAGCAGAAGGAAACTCAGAACGTGAAGAATAAAGGAATAGCATCAGAAGTGAAAGCTGCCTCAGTAATAATTTCTTCTTCTTTGAGTTCTTTAAAATATATTTTGTAGGTGAAAGCAAAAATAACATTGTTTGATTTTCAGTGTATGTAGATGTAATATAGAAGTCAACTGCAAGAATAAGAGGGAAAGGGGTATGGGACCTACATAGTGGTGAGGTTTCTACAATTCACTTGAAGTGGTAAAATATTTATTCTAAGTTGACTGTTAGCCAAGGCAGATGCAAATTAAAACCACAGTGAGGTATCATCTCACACCAGTCCTAAAGACTATTATTAAAACGTCAAAAACTAACAGATATTGGTGAAGAGATGTAGAAAAGGAAACATTTATATACTCTTGGTGGAAATGTAAATTAGTAAAATATCTAAGAAAAACAGTTAAGAGATTTCTCAATGAATTAAAAATAGAACTACCATCTGATTTAGCAATCCCACTACTGGACATTTGCCCAAAGGAAAAGAAATCATTTCATCAAAAAGATATCTGCACTCATATGCTTAATGCATCACTATTCACAAAAGCAAAGATATGGAATCTACCTGTGTTGATAAAGGGATGATTACATAAATAAAATATATACACACAATGGAATATTATTCAGTCAAAAAAAGAATGAAATTATGTCTTTTGTGAAAAACATGAATGGAAATGAGGCTATTATCTTTAGTGGAACAACTCAGAAACAGAAAGTCAAATATTGCATGTTTTCCCTTAAAAGAGGGAGCTAAATAATGTGTACACATGAGCACAGAATCTGGAATAAAAGACACTGGACACTTAGAAGGGTGGAGGTGGCATGGGTAGGGAAGGGGGTTGAGGGGTGAGGAATTACTTGATGGGTACAATGTACATTTTTTAGGCGATGGTTACGATAAAAGCCCAGACTTCACCACCATGCAATATATCCATGTAACAAAACTGCACTTGCACCCCTTAAATTTATACAAATAAAAATGTAATACTAATGATAGATACCATATACTGAAAAAAATGACCAATTCACCAAGAATATTAAAACAATTCTAGACTATAACTAACACCACAGGATTAAAATACATTAAACCAAACTGACAGAAAACCAAAAGGAGAAATAGAGAAATTTACAATTATGGTTGGAGACTTTAATACTGCTCTGTCAGCAATAGACAGAACTAGTATGCTGAAAATCAGAAAGGATGTAGAAGATCTTAACAACACCATCGATTGACTGGATCTATTTAACATTTACAGGACACTCTGCTCCCAAGCAGTAGAATATATATTCTTTTCAAGCACACATAGAACTTGAAGATAGACCATATCCTTGAATAAGCTATGAAGACAGAACAAGATAGACCGTATCTTTGTTCATAAATTAATCCTACACAAATTAAACTTGAAGCAATTGAAATCATTTAAAGTATATTCTGTGACCATAATAAAATTAAACTAGAAATCAGTAAAAGAAACTCCAAACTTTGCCTTAAAAATACACTTAATAATTCATGGGTCAGAAGGGGAGTCTTAAAGAAATTAGAATGTATTTCTAACTGAACAAAATTGCAAATATATAAAAATTGTGGTAAGTAGCTAATGTATTACTTAGAAGTTTTTGCCATTTAATGCTTGCTTTAGAACAAAAAGTTGTCAAGGCAATAATTTGTTTCCATCTTGAGAAATGGTAAAAGAAGAGATAAATAAACCCAGTGCAAACTGAAGAAAGATACTAATAAAATAATAGCAAAGATTGATGAAATTGAAAACAGAAAAAAATAAAGAAAATCAATGCAACCAATCTGTTTCTATGAAAAGATTAATAAAAGTGATAAACCTCTAACAAGACCGACAATGTAAATGAGAATAGTAAAGACACAAATTACCAATATTAGAATTAAAAGAGGAAATACACCTTTAGAAACTCCAGACATTAATACAATTATAAAAAATACTATAAACAACTCTTTGCACATAGATTTAGTAACTTAGTTGAAATCGGTTAATTCATTGACATCCACAAGCTATTATAACTCATCCAAGATAAAATAAGTAACTTGAGTAATCCTATAACTAATAAGAAATTGAGTCCGTAGTTTAAAATCTTCCCCCTAAAAATAAATCTTCAGGCCCAGCTGATATTAGTTTATTTCTATCAAGTATATATGGAAGAAATAACACCAATTCTACAGATATGAGGATAGAACATTTTCTAAATAATTTTATGTGCCAAGCATAACTCTCATATCAAAATTAGACAAAGCAGTTAGAAGAAATAAGACTTGGTGGTCAATAGATCAGTAGAATGACTACAGTTGATATTAATCTATTGTACATTTCAGAATAGCTAGTAGAGGATAATTAGAACGTTTTTAGAGTTAAAAAAGATACATATTTAAGGTGATAGATATCCCAATTACCCTGATTTGATTATATGAGTGTATCAAATTACCACATGTACTCCCCAAATGTGTACACCTATTATGTATTAATAAAAAATTTAAAAAGAAAAATATTTTCATGAACATAAATGCAAAATTTCTTTACAAAGTATTAGCAAATTGAATCTAACAATCTAGAAAAGAAATAGTACATCAAACCAAATGTGCTTTATCCTAGAAAAGTAAGCAAGGCTCATTAAATATAAACAATCAGTTAATCTACCAATTAACAGTCTAAAAGGAAAAATACATGATAATATCAATTTATGCAGAAAAAACATTTGACAAAATGCAATTTTTTTCATGAAAAAAGTTTTCTGTAATCCAGGAATAGAAGAAGACTTCCTTTACTCAATAAAAGTTGTCTACAAAAATTCACAGATGACCTCATATGTAATGGTGAAAACTGAGTGCTTTTACCTTAAATTGGGAATAAGGTAAGGATGTCCACGCTCAGGACTACTATTAAAGATTCCACTGGAATTTTTTTTGTCAGGGCAATAAGGCAATAAAAAGAACTAAAGTTCATATAGATTGGAAAGAAAAGAAGGAAGGAAGAAAGGAAGGAAAGGAGGGAGGACGGGAGGGAAGGACAGATGAAGGAAGGAAGGAAGGCAGGCTTATTTGCAGATGACATGATTGTCCACATAGAAAATACCAACGAAAGTACCAAAAAAAAAAAAAAAAAATGAAATGACTTAGAACTAATAAGGAAGTTTGGCAAGATCATGAAATATAAGATCGAGACACAAAAATCAATTTTTTAATATGTTCTAGCAATGGACAATTAGCAATGGTTATATTGATTAAAAATACCATTTAAAATAGCTCCTCAAAATGAAGTATTTTGATATAGTCTATCAAAGCATATACTGGATTTGTGTGCTGAAAACTACAAAAGGCTAATAAAAGTAGTCAAAGAATACCTAAATAAATGGAGAGTCATACTGTATACATGGATTGAAAAGTTCAATACAGTAAAGAGGTCAATTCTGCCCACTTTGGTCATAGGTTTTACATAATTCAATCCTCAGCAGGATGTTTGATTGTTTTTGTAGGGATAGACAAGCTGATTTCAAACTTTTATGTGGAAAGGCAAAAGGACTAGAATAGCTAAAACAAATTTGTTAAAGAATAAAAATAAAGGATTTATACAATAAAGATAAATTGTAATGTTAAATTAATCAAGATGATGTGGTATTTTCTATACGTAGATATGTAGATTATAGAAAAGAATAGAGAGGGCAGAAATAGACTCAGATATACGGCTATATTAAAATTAATTAATTAACTGATTTTTGGCAAAGTACAAATGCAAAACAATAAAGGTCAGTCTTTAAAATAAATTATAGTGTTTAAACAATTAAACATCTATATGCAAAAAAGGAGCTTAGTTTAAATCTCAAACTATATACAAAATTAACTCAAAGTCAATCATAAACTAAATATAAAACACAATACAATAAAACTCTTAGAAGACAACATTGGACAAAATTTTTATGACCTTGCATTTGCCAGAATTCTTAGACATGGAACCAAAAGCAAAATTGTGTACACACACACACACACACACACACACACACACACACACACACACAATAGGCTTCATCAAAAGGTTAAACAACAAAAAAGCTTTTGTTCTGTGATAAACATGTTAAGAGGATAGAATGTAAGCCACAGACTACGTTAAAATATATGTTATCACATAGTTGACAAGCATTATATTAAGAATGTATAAATAAGTCTCAAAATTCAACAGTAAAAATATAACAGCCTAAAAATGGACAAACATTTGAAAAGACACTTTACCGAAGAGGGGATGAGCTTGGCATATAAAAACATGAGAAATATTGAACACCATTTTAGTAGTTAAGAAATTGCAGATTAAAATCATAGTGAGATGCTATTACATACGTTTTTGAATGGCCAAAATAAAAATTACTGATAATACCATGTTCCTGCAATTAGATTGGATTTGATTCTTTGATGTGTACATTTTACATGACTTTCTAGTTTGTGAGGGAGCAGAGGAAGGATGGAAGCTACTTATAAAATGACTTTTGAAGTTAATATGTATGTAAAGCAAAACATTCAGAAGAACTTCATTTGCTCTTATAAGACTTCTAAGTCTACACAGTGAATGCTGTTTAAATTCTCAAGTGTTCACATGGTGGACACTAAAATGTAACAGATAAGCATCTGTGCCATTGAGATAAATGTCTTTCTTTGGATTCTGAGTAAAGCGAAATGTTTTTCTTTAGTCTTGGTGTGAAAAGAGAGTGAATGGGAACATCAATTTTTTCCCTTCTCATTCACACATTCTCTTTATGTTATGTATTTTGCTTTTTTATTAGTCAAGAATTGCCTCTTCAGAGATGACTAGGAAGTTTTGTTTTGCTGGGGAATCTAAATATCTTTTCTGAGACACCTACTTGTAAGTAAGCATGTCCTATCCCCTCCAGGTTATGTATGTCGAGTCCTTGTAAAGGCTGAAATGAAAACCTTTTATAGATGTGTTTTATAGAAATGTTATTTGACCTCCTTTGGGTTTTCTGCCACCGTGTTTATGTGAAAATAAACATCTTTTTAAAAAGTACTGATTATTTTTCAAGGGCTAGACATTCAGAACAGATGATAGTTCACATGAGATTCTTTCAAAGCAGATATGCATACAGGTCTTTCTTGATGATCCTGAAGTGTGCACCCTGGACATATGACAGACTTTATTAGTTTTCCAGCTTTTACCTGGAGAGATATTATTATGATCTTTAGATAATTATGCATTATCAGTTCCACTTTAACTGCCTTTTAAGAAAATGGATTGTAACTATTTTTCTCTTTCATAGATTTCACCTTTCTTTCCCTTTGCTATCTTTTTAGACAATCACTTCCCCGCTCCTTACTTTAATATCGTATTTTTTCCTTCTCAAGGATGAGATTTGTCTCTAAATTCTTTAGTACTGTATCCTAATTGCTAGGTTGTGAGACATCAACTTCCACTACTACTGAAAAGTAAGAATATTTCTTAAATGTAATAGCTAAACTCAAAATGGGATAATTTTCTTCTTTGAAAGTGTAGGTGATATTGAATATGAACACTTTTTTTCTTTTAGTTTTGGCCCCTAAACCCTAAAGCAAGACTGAAATCTTTATTTTAAATGCTAGCCAGGATATGGCAGCCTTTTTCCTCCTCTAACAAGGAGTACTAAACTCTCCAGCAGGCATTTCTAAAAGACCACAAATTTTCTGACTATTTATCAGACTCCTTGAAGAATATTGCCTCTGAGGAAGAAGTCTCCATTATTTGAATGTACTCCATGAATCCAGTCTTCAATTTATAGGCTGTTAAATCTTTTCAGAAGAAAGCTCTGAATAAAGTTGACTAGACTTTAGTTTTTTTCCTGAAATTAAACATTTGCTTTCCATTGATCAATGAATCACTGCAATTTCTTGGTATTACTCTGACAAATCTTAAGGCCGACTATAGTTTCCTGTGAAATATAGTTGTACTGAAGTGAAACTAACATATAATATGCTTAATATGAAAACAGAAGTAGAGAAGCTACTAAGAAGTTGTTACAGGGCTTTTTTTTCCTTTGTATTTTCCCTCCCTCATTCTCCTCTCCATTCCCATCAAGAATCCTCTCTCTGTCTTTTAAAGGACATTTCTTTTCTAGCTCCTATCTTACATTATTTTCATTTTGTGGGTATGGATCAAAATTATGCTGTGGGGAGCAAGGAACAGAAGTGCTGTTGTGATTGAATCACTTAAAATGTTACTGCCAGCATTTTGAAAGGGTACAGAACTGAAGAGATGGTCAACACAGTTGACAAATAGGAGCCTGGAAAAGAATATGGGAAGAAGAGTGGTATATATGAATAAAATATAGAAAAGAGAGAGAGAAAAAAATCTATTAATAGCAAGATGTTTAGATATTTAGCAATTATAATGAATTTTACAAGCAAATTAAGAAAAAATGTTATGCAATATGTGCCTGAGATCAGCTAACACTGAGAACTTAATCACGGTTTTCCCCCCGAGCAGGGCCTGTTTAGGAAGGGGAACATCACACTCTGGGGACTGTTGTGGAGTGGGGGGAGGGGGGGGATAGCATTGGGAGATATACCTAATGCTAGATGACGAGTTAGTGGGTGCAGCGCACCAGCGTGGCACATGTATACATATGTAACTAACCTGCACAATGTGCACATGTACCCTAAAACTTAAAGTATAATAATAAAAGAAAAGAAAAAAAAAAAGAAAAAAAAACATTTTTAGGTAGCATCTTACTTATTTACCTAATGAGATCAATTGTCACATATCATTCCTGTAGCAAAATTCTTCTAATAACAAAAAATAGATATTAAAGTTGTTCTTCATAATGCTGCATTATTATTAAGAGGGGTGAGTGAATATATGCTAGTTTTGTTTGATAACTTGTTTATTTTGCTTTCTCTGCCCCACATAAGATTTCCTATTATCTATACTAAGGAACTCCCCAGTATGTATAGTCTTGGTATACTTTCTCCAACATCAAAAATAGAAGAGTCAGATATTCCATTCTCCGCCCCTTGGTGGACAGGGCGTCAGCATGTAATTTAAATTCTGCGTATCAGATATTCCAAGTCAGGATTTGCAATATTGTGCTGATCAAACAAACATCAGGGTATGGTCAGAATTCACTTGTAATTGCGATTGTGGATAATGGCCTATAGCAATGTCCTGGACAAACTGCTTTTTCTACAACCAGTGATCTCATTTCCTGCTTCTTCACCCGTCAGAATTTGTCTTGATGCCTCTCTGTTTCTCTCTTCTTCCTCTTTTTTTTTTTTTTTTAAATTCAGCTTTTATTTTAGATACAAGGGGCACATGTGCAGGTTTGTTACATGGGTATATTGCACTTTTAGTACCCAATAGGTAGTTTTTATCCCACAGCCCCCTCCATCCCTCTCCTCTAGTAGTCGTCAGTGTCTATTATTCTTACAATGGACACTGAATGTTTATGTCCATGTGTGCTCAATGTTTAGCTCCAACTTATGAGTGAGAACATTCAGTATTTGGTTTGCTTTTTCTGTATTAATATCCTTAGGAATATGGTCTTCAGCTCCATCCATGTTGATGCAAAGGGCATGATTTCATTCTTTTTTATGGCTGCATAGTATTTCATTGACTATATATACCACATTTAAAAAATCCAGTCCACCATTGGCAGGCACCTAGGTTGATTCTACATCTTTGCTATTGTGATTAGCATGGCAATAAACATATGAGTGCATGTGTCTTTTGGTATAATGATCTGTTTTCCTTTGGGTATATACCCAGTAATGAAATTGCTAGTTTTAATGGTAGCTCAGTTTTAAGTTGTTTGAGAAATCTTCAAACTGTTTTCCACAGTGGCTGTACTAATTTACATTTTCACCAGTGGTTTATAGGTGCTCCTTTTTCTCCACGGCCTCACCACCATCTGTTGTTTTTGGACTTTTTAATAATAGCCATTCTTACTGGTGTGAGATGGTATCTCATTGTGTTTTTTGTTGTTGTTGTTGTCGCTGTTGTTTTGCATTTCTCTGATGATTAGCAATGCTGAGCATAGTTTCATATGTTTGTTGGTTGCTTTTATGTCTTCTTTCAAGAAGTGTCTGTACATATTCTTTGCCCATTTTTTTAATGGGGTCCAAACTTGGCCCTACAAGTTCCAGGCAATACCTTGAATCATTAAAATCCAGCAAATAAATTTCTTTCTTTTTCTTTTCTTTTTTTTTTTTTTGCCAGACATCCAGAGTCTAATTTCATTGCATGCAATCAAGAAACCTATCTGAACCTGTAGAATGAATATTTCCTAGGAAGAGTAAGCCTACTTATTAAAAATCTATTATATCCACTCAACCTGCTTTTATTAACAAAATAGCATTTACCTATTATGTAGAAAGAGGGAACTGACAGGTGATAGCTCTTCTAGTGTTGACCTCTAGTTGGCCCATATCTTGCGTTTATTATATAAGTGATGCTTGTCTGCTAAAATTTTGATCAGTAGGTGTATTTATTTTCTTTGGCTTAAAAATGGAGGAAAAGAAATGGTTTTGTTTGTACTGAGAAAGATTTTTGTATCTGTAGTTTGTTTCAAAGAAGTTAAAAAGAATGTAATTTGAACTCACACACTCATATTTTAAATTTGAGACACTTACAGAATTTAAAAACAGATGAGTATTGCAGATAATTCTATGTTAAAACATTTATTTATATGCAGCTATTACCCATCAATATGCAGAGTAAAGTAAAAATTGATATGCCATTTTGAGTGACTCGCTTCCTTAAATGTTCCTTTATAAGAACTTAAAAGCTCTATCAGAGATATAAGACTTTTGTTCCAGGGATTTTCAAAACTGCAAAGTGTCCAAATTTTAAGGTAGGAGTGGTTTTGTGTCCTGTGACGTGGTCTCTCCTTTTCAAGATAGGAAATTGAATTTGGTGCTAAAGGGCTAAAGCACTTTCCTTTAGAAAATCAGGATATGCCATTCTACAAAGGATAGAGTGCTTTCTTTTAATCCTATTAATCCAAGTAAATTCACTTTATCTACTAGGTCGGTTAAATGTAACAACCCATTTTCAGATCTACGGCAGAGTCCTCTAGATTTGGGATATTCCACTTAGAAAACATGACTTCAGATAAAATAATTATGTGGGTGTGTGATTTGTACCCTGTAGTGTTTACGCTATGTAACATTACCTGTATTTATCCTACCCAAAACACACATCTTTAACGCAAACACGTAATCATTTTAGAATGCTATACATCTACATTTTAGAGAAGTAACATAGCTTTAGTAAACACACACTACTACCATCAAAAAAGGAAATTAAAAGTAGCGATAATGATTTTGTTTTATCAAACTAAAAATAATATGTAGGACTATTCTATTGGTTGATATTCTTATATATAATTTAATAGTAAGTTACACATTTGTGCGAGGTTAGTTGACCCTTGAACAACACAGGCTTGACCTGCACAGGTCCACTTAAATGCCAGTATTTTTCAACCAAATGCAGTTAGAAAATATAGTATTCAAGGGATTTGAAACCTGCATATAAGGAAGGCTGGCTTTTCTTATTTCTGCAAGGCTGAAACACATTTCTGCAGGGCTGACCTTGGGGCTTGGGTGTGAGCAACTTTTGGTATAAATGGGTCCTGGAACCAATCCCTCATGTATACTGAGAGATGACAGTAGTGCCAGAAAATGCCATCGCGTTGTATGTATTTCAGGCATCATAAAAGCTAATTTCTCAGTTTAATTCCCATCAATAGAAATTGTTTATGGTATAAAAATAAATATTGTCTCTTATTTGATACAAATTTTTTACATTTGTGCATTTTAAGTTTTAAAGAGTATAGCTCACATGTTAGTTACCTATTAACACATAACAAATTACCCCAACATTTAGCACCTTAAAACAACACACATTTTTATTATCTCACAAATTCTTTGGTCAGGAAGTTAGGGCACCATGTAACCGAGTTCTCTACTTCAGCTTCTCTCACACTCAGAGGTAGAAATTATCCATTTTATTGAAGAAATAGTTAAAAATAATAATGCTAACATTCATGGCATCATTTGATAATCATTGTTCTGATTTTATAGCAGTCTTCATTGGAAGCAGGGGAACAGCCATATTGAGTTTTATATTTCAAATCTTGAGATTAAAATTTAATTTTAACCATGAAATTAAGATCAATTTCTATTTTTCTACTAAGATCACAAATTAGAGTGATACACAGGTAAAAGTATATAAGATTAAAAACAAGGTGATTCAAAACATTAAATTTAGGAAAGAATCTTGAACATTAAATGTTATGTTATGATAGCTTCTCTGTCCTCCTATTTCTTGACCTCTCAGCAACAATTGCCACAATTGGTAACACAATCCACAATCCTTAGTATCCTCAAATCATATAGGCTGCACTGTACCTTTCAGTGCATTTTGTGGGTCCTTATTCTTATTTACATCTCTGGATTGTGGATGCCAGGGTTGGATCCTGCGCCTCTTTTTGTTATAAATATTTTTAGAATGAAATTTATTTTATTTTATCTTATGTCAACTTTTTATCTTAGTACACTGTAATTACAGGTAATGTAGATGAGTGCTCATGTGCACTGAGTGTTCAGACTGAGTGTTCAGATTGTGTAACCAGCACCCAGAACAAGAAATAAAATATTATCAACAACACAGGAGCCATTCCCTTACTGGTTTTTAGTTACCATCCTATCTCAAAAGTTTTGTCTGCATCTATGCTTCATGTAATGAAATTGCACAATATATAGTCATGCTTTCCTTAACAATGGGGATACGTTCTGAGAAATGCATCCTTAAGCGATTTCATCATTGTGGGGACGTCATATAGTGTACTTACATAAACCTAGATGGTATAGTCTACCACACACCTAGGCTATACAGTACATAGCCTGTTACTCCTAGGCTACAAACTTATAGTGCATGTTACTGTACTGAATACTGTAGGCAATTGTAACACAATTGTAAGTATTTGTGTATCTACACATCTCTAAACATAGATAAGGTATAGTAAAAATACAGTATTATAATCTTACGGGACCACTGTCACATATGCAGTCCCCTGATGACCAAAATGTCGTTATGTAACAGGTTGCTGCATTTTCTTTTGGAGTGGATTATTTCAGTCAATGCTCTGTCTATAAGAGTTACCCATTTATTACTGTTGCTATGAAGTGTTCCATTGTGTGAAAGTACCACAATTTATTTATCCATATTTCCATGTAAATACTTGCTTCCAGTTTTTATTTATTACTAATATTGCTGCTATGAATAGTCTAGTATATGTGTTTGGTAGACCTATGTGCTTATCCTTACATGGGTGGAAGCCAGAAATGGTAGTGCAAGACCTTAACAACTACTAGCTCTATGACTTGATATCAGTTGGCTTGTATCAAGTACTCTCTGTGCTTCAATTTTCTAATTCATAAAATGGGAATCAAATAGTACTCAATTTATAAGGTTGTTATAAAGAGCAAATGAGTTAAATCTTTTAAAGTGACTAAATGACTAAGTGACAATTTTTAAAGAGCCAAATATTTAAAGTGATTAGAAGAATGCTTGAGTCATAGTAGGTACTTAACACATTAGCTATTTTTTTTTCTTTTTTAGAAAATGAAACTTCTACTTCTACTTAGCTACTCAGCTTCCAGCCTACAGTAGCATACTCAATATCTTCCTTTTTCTCATGAACTCAACCTCCAATCCTTCAAAAAGTCATGTGGCTCTGTGTACAAACATATCCTGCATCTTTCCATGCCCTCCTGCCCTGCATACTTTCTAATTTTGTTCACACCATCATCTCACACTTGGTACTTTCCGAACTTGTCTAATTTTTGCTATTTTTTTGTCTTTTTATTAATCCACTCTCAATAATAGACTGATTTGATACAAATTCTGATAACACTGGCCTTTCTGTTCCTCAACTGAAGGAATTTTATTCCACCTAGGCTCTTTTTGAGAAATTTTTCTTTATACTAGGAATGCTATGTCCTCAGATCTTGGTAATGTCCCATTGTTTTTGTCATTTAGATTTCAGATCAAACAGCCTCCCATCACATTTATTTCTGAGAAGGCTTTTCCTAACTTTTTTCTCAGTCTGCTTTCACAAGTAATCACTCCCTATAATATCATCTGATTATATTTTATTTCTTATGCTCATTTCTGCCGGAAATAATCTCAGTCATTTATTTGGTCACTTTATTTTCTGTCTCCTCTTCTCTAGAATGAAAGCCCCAGAAAAGCAGAGACCTTATTTGGTTTGTTTATTAGCTCTTACAATAATGTCTGATAAATTGTCCAAGTTCAATAAATACTTGGAATGAATACTTGGAATGAACAGCATCAGGAAAACTTAAATAAGTATGATCATTTCAATGTTTCTTACTCCCAGCAATCTCTTCTAACTTAAATTTAACCAATCAAATAAAACAGTACATTTAAATCAAATAGCAGGCCTTGTTGGCTTATTAATTAACTTGACTCTCATCATGATTACAGCCATATATTTAGGATTTTTCTGAGTAAATTTTCTTTACCTGTGTATTGCTCCATTTCATCTGAGTTTAACAAGTTCTCTAAAATGATAAGGTTAAGTATTTGTAAAACAGGAAAACACAGCTATCGTTTGATCTTTTTTAATTTAAATATCCCATTTTCACTATCTAGAAGTGATTTACTTACCTCTATTATTTTCTTATGCAAGTGATTTCTATAATAAATTTATAAAAATATATTTCCCTTTAAAACATCACTTTGAAGATGATTACATATCTATTACAAAACCTCTCCTGTTCAAGCTTAGATAAAACAAGGAAAAACAAACCTAGCATAGGCAATGCCTTTTCTGTGTCACCGTTTTTGCCTTTGCATGCAGTATTCCCACTGATAGTTGGATGAGGAAAGGAGCATTACAGCAACATTAACATGTCAAGCTCACAGGCTGTACCTGCCAAGCAGATAAATGTATTGTGGGAATTAACAAGCATGCTGCACCTGGGTTTTCTCAATGGTATTAAAAATAATTCTTCGAATAGCATAGGTATGGTAGCATTGGTGCCTTAAGACTTAATATTAAGATTTGTATATCCTGAAGCTAAATAAGGAAGGTTTGGAACCCTGGGAATGTGATGCTATCTGTCCTAACATCTAAAACAGACTGAGAGGTTTTGCTTTAGATTTCAGAGAAGTAATTGGAAGAAAAAGGTTAAACAACCGTACTATATAGTCAACAAATTCATTGTGTTAAATGTAGACAACATAAAAATGAAGACATAACTTTTATTGAGTGCTTACTGTGCACCTGATGCTTTTTTAAGCGCTCAAATTTCATTAATTAGTTGGCCTCTCTAATTCTACACTGCTTCCTCCCTGCTTGTTTTCTTTTTTTAGTACTAATACTCCTTACCTGCTTTATCATGTTTTTCCCCATCGTCTGTCTCTACCAGAATGAGTGCTCCTCAATGATACACATCTTTGTTTTAATAGAGTAGGTTAGTCATTGCTGGACAACCCCAAATCTCGATAATTAAAATGTTAAAGTTTATTTTTCACTCATGTGATACGTACATCATGAATCTGCAAGAGGTTCTATACAATATGTCATATAAAAATTCATGAATATAGAGGCTTCATCTCAAAACATGCTTCCATGATCACAAAGGCTGGGAAAAGGAAATGCAATGTATTGCTCACTTGAACTTAAAGTTTCTACCAAGAAGTAACATATGTTACTTGCACTTATATTTCACTAGGCAAAGAATCTTGATGGCCATGTCTGATTTCAACAGTGTTGGAAAGGAGACAAGGTTTTAATTAACAGAATACAATTGATTGTATCTCTTTCATTGATTGCCACATTCCATGTGCTGATGCATAGATCATGAATAGATATTTACAACTAGTAACTATTTTGATTGTCATTTTATAAACAAGGAAACGGAGGCACCTACAGGTAAGGAAACTTGCCAAATTCCAGGAAGGGCAGAATGTAAAGCCAAACATTATTACTTTAGAACCTTGACTCTTAACTCCTATATTGATAAGTTGATAGAGAAAAGTCACTGTATTGAACTTACGTTGTTTCTCTCAGTGTTGGTTGTTAGGCATCATTTCAATTTTCATTGAGAAAGAGTAGCATTAACCCAGACAAATAGACTTCATCTGGCATGCCTCCTCAAGTCCCTACCAAAGGTTTTTGAGGTTTGACAGTTTGCAGAATGTAAGAAAGCCATTTTGTTTAAGGTGCTAAGATGGAAGAACAGGCTATTTTATGGTCAAAGGTACTGGATATTTATTCTCCTGAATTAAATTTTCACAAGATATATATTTTTATTAATAGATATAGGAATTTGTATACTCTCATATAGTAGGAGAATGTGCTTTAATAATTTACAAACCTGTGAAATAGGATTTTCAACATATCTTACATCTTAAAAACACACATAGGTAAACACAATAATGTTAAGCATTTTGTTGAAAACATTTTTAAAAGAAAATATTTGGATTAAGATATCAAAAAAGCCAGGTAGTTAGGATATAAAACAGAACTCCATATATCTGTGAGCCAAAAATATAAATGGGTCTTAATGTTGAATAAAAAACTCCTTGTTTGAGGGCAAAATGTTAGTTTCATACAAGAAAATGCTTGTGCACATTGGAGAAAACATGCATGTGTATTTTACCCAGAGGGAAGAAAATTATATCAAAATATTGTAGACCATACTGGTTTTCAATTTTAGAAGTACAAATATGATACCTAACATGGGCCAAGCATTCACAAACTATTCATTGATCCAGCAAATATCCATTGAGTACCTGCCATATCGCAGAAGAGTATCATAACAAGCTGTAATATAAACTAGATATGTTTGAAGCTTATCTTATTATTTCTGGTGTTTATCAAAAATGATTAGTGTTTTCCTAAGAAATTAAGTTTGGTGAATATGTATTCTGGTTTTATAGTATATACATATAGAGGGGTATCTAAAATAAGACTCTGAATCTTTGTACAGTCGTCCTTCAGTATCCATGGGCTATTGGTTCCAGGACCTTCTCTGGATACTAGAATCATTGGATACTTAAGTGGCATAGTATTTGCATATAACCTCACATATACTCCTGTATAGTTTAAATCATCTCTAGATTACTTATAATACCTAATACATGTAAATAATACATGCATGTAAACACTATGCATGTAGTTGTTATACGGTATTTTGTAGGGAATAATGACAAGAAAAAGTCTGTGTATGTTCAGTGTGGACACAAAAATCCATTTTTTTCTAAATATTTTCAATCCAACGTTGGTTGAATCCACTATGTGAAACCAACGGACAAAGAGGGCTGACAGTATTTTTAAAGACATTTTGTTTTTACTGTCACTTTACTACAGCATTACACAACTTTACAGAAAATTTATGTTTTTTTGATCAATGTAAAATCCTGTTTTCTATTTTGGTAAAAACTGATCATTCTCTTGATCTACATGCAATTGCCAATATTGTACATATACTCCAACACATATAATCTCGTGTAATATGCTATTTAAAAATTATATTTATATCTTACATATTATTTATATGAAAACTGTACATTAATTACACTTCCAGGAATTAAACAACAAAACAAATTAGTATTCATAAAATTGCTCAAGAATTCTAATCCTGGTTTGTTTGGTACCAACTACACAGGAATTGGTAAGATAATACACTAAATTGCAGATACGAGTTTCTTGACTCATTTCTGGGAGACAAAATAAACACTAGCATTGAATATTTTTCCAGAATAATTGAACCAGTAGAAAAAAAAAACTATACATTAAGCTCATTTAACATCTTCACAACACCTATATATGTTAGTAAATTCAGCATTTTCTTGTAAAAGATATTTGATGTGTGCGAAGAATCTTACCCTGTTGCTTTTTTCTTAAGATGTTAGAAATTATGTTGATTTTAAAACTACATATATACTAAAGCAAAAAGTCATCAAGTAATTATCATTGCTAAATACATTTTATGGAAGGCCATTGTTTTGGGCTGAGCTCCTGCACTAGGCCTCAGTGGACTAAACCCAAATGGAGTCACTCATGCTAAAGTTTCACATCACCAAACGAAAACCAAATTGTTTATCTGAACTTTTGAGAAACCTGGAGAAAGATGATTGCTGAATTCCCAAACATGCCAGTTTTAGCTAGCATGATAAAGAAGTCCCCTCTGCTTTAACACTTAAAGAAAGTTACCTGAACTAACCTGATGTTAATCAATCTGCTTTTTGTTATTTCCTTTTTTCTGCTGAAGCTATCTTGTAAGAACTGGCTTTTCTGCCACGCCCAGAGTAGTACCTCTTTATTTTAGAGGAGATGTTTCCCAATTCATGAATCACAAATAAAAGCCAATTATTTAATTAAATAAGTTCGGATTTTGTCTTTTGATATCATATGACAGTAATATTCACCCAATTACCCATATTCAAAAAACTTATTTCACACAAATATAGTTTTGGAAAATACTAACTGCTCAGTACAATAACTGCCAATATCATTTCGGTTAGAATTCACTAAATCTCTTTTTTGGGAGGTCATGTGTATTTTAAAGGATGTTACTTTAAATGAGACAAATACTGAATAATATTAAATAAGACAAAATCCTCACTTATAAGAATGCTTTCTGTTTAGTGAAATGAGGCAAGGGCATAAAAACAATAGAGCTATGAAATGGCGAAGCACCCGGTTGTTATCTGAAAGATGAATTTGTTGAATTCTTTCTACACTATAATATTTATTGTCAATAGGTAATTTCTTCAATTTGAGTGAGTGTGAAGTACCAAGAAATTAATAATGTAAGCAGCCGTTAATACATCATAAATTTTATAGGACTAAAAATAATAAACAAAAGAGCAACAATTAGAATAAACTCAGTTATTTTTTATGTGCATATATTTTAGGTCACTTGTGAAATATTGCTTATAACTTAATTATGGACATTTTGTCTCTTACTTGGGAAATAATAATCTGTTAATTTTTTTTTTTTTTTTTTTGGTTGGAGTCTCACTCTGTCACCCAGGCTGGAGTGCAGTGACCTGATCTCAGCTCACTGCAACCTCTGCCTCTTGGGTTCAAGCAATTCTCCTGCCTCAGCCTCCAGAGTAACTGAGACTACAGGCATGCATTATCATGCCCAGTTAATTTTTATATTTTTAGTAGAGATGAGGCTTCACCATGTTGGCCATGCTTGTCTGGAACTCCTGACTTCAAGTGATCCCCCTTGGCCTCCCAAAGTGCTGATATTGTAGGCATAAGCCACTGCACCCAGCCCTAATCTGTTATTAATCATTATTTTCCATTTTTTCTTCTCCCTTTCTTTTTCATTCTCTCCCTTCCGACTGTGTCTATCTACATTATATCTACTGTGTCCCAGGCATTAAGCTAGTTATAGTGTTATTGAGGCAGAAGAATAGGATCTGGAGGCAGGGAATATAGGCTGATTCATGCTGACTTCCTAGAACTAAATCAAATGGAAACTCTTCAGCTATGACAAGAAACGTCCTCTCCATCTACATAGGGCATATATCTAGTAAATGACTGTGGTTTTACTTCATCCCCTTCATTTATATAGGGTATACACCAAGTAACCATTGGAAACCTCTAGAGGTTATTTAAACCCCAGAAAATTCTGTAATGGGACTCTTGAACCCCTATGCTAGGCCCGCTCTCCCCCTGTGGAGTGTACTTTCATTTTCAAAAAATTTCTGCTTTTCTTGCTTCATTATTTTCTTGCTTTGTTTGTGTGTTTTGTCCAATTCTTTGTTCAAGATGGCAAGAACCTGAACACCTTCAAACAGTAACGTTATTTCAAAAGTTGGTTCTACCATCTATGAGCTATGCAGTATTGGAACAGTTTTACTCAACTTCATTCCTTTTTTAAAAGCTGAAGATACTAATAATACGTATGACATTATTGGGAGGCATAAATGTATTATTAAATGGGAAAATTTTATTTCAGTGCCTGACATAAGACAGGCTCTCAACAGAGTTTTAGAATAAAGGAATGAATGAACGAATTAATGCATGGTAGTCATGGCAGTGAGGATTTGAAATTCATTTGTAATATTCAATTTTTGAGAAGACGTGAGAACTGGAAAAGTTTATTACAAAGAGATCATTTATAGACCAATGCTTCTCATTAATATGTATGCAGACAATTTTAACAAAATCAAATCCTAAATGAATGTGAAATACCTAAAATATAATAAATCATAGCTGAGGTGGTTTATTTCAGAAATGCATGTTTCATTTAGCATTTAAATGTAAATTAGTGTAATTCACCAAATTAACAGACTGAAGGAGAAAAACCATACATTTATCCCAATGAATGCAGAAAAAGCTTTTAATATAATTCAATACTCATTGATAAAAAAATTCTTAGCAACTTAGATATAATTAGGAACTTCCTTAATTTAATAAAGAGTATCTACAAAAATATCACAGCAAATATACTCAGTAGTAAAAAGCTATCCCATTAAATTTTGGAGGAGGTAGAAATATTTGCAACTGATGCTTCTGTTTAATATTGTACAGTAGGCACTAGCAAGAAAAAGAAATACAAGGAAGAAACAAATGATTATTTTCAGATGGTATTATTGTGTGCACAGAAAAATCAAAACAGCTTACAGAGAAAATATTATAATTTATAGGTAAAATTAGTAAGTTCATGTAAGTTCAAATGTATTTTTAAAAAACATTGTACTTTATATATAAGCAAAGATTTTTAATAAAATTTAAAGAACATATAATTTACAATAGTATTTAAAATATATATCACCTAGAAACAATTCTAAAAAATACAAATGTACAGGGCTTTTAACAGAAAGCAAACTGTATTGAGATAAATTAAGGAAAATGAATTGGAGGAACATATCTTGGCTGTGGATTGGTAGACTCAATATTATAAAGAACTCAATTCTTCCCAAAGTGGTGTATAGTTTAATGCCATTCTAGTCAAATTTACAGCAAGCATTTCTTTGTGAAAATTCATCAAGTAATGCTAAAATTTTTATGAAGATGCAAAGGGTCTAGAATAGCTAAGAACATCTTGAAGAAGAATGAAGAATTTACACTACTATATTTTACAAAAATATATATGCAATATTAAGACAGTGTGTTATTGGTAAAAGGTTAGGCAAACAAAAAGAAAACAGAATAGAAAATTCAGAATTAGGCCTGAAAATTTAGTCATATAATTTATGACAGAGATGACACTGTGGTACAGAGGAAATAGATATTCACTTTAATAATATTTTGATTAACTGGATATTCACATTAAAACAAAATGAATCTAACCCCTACCTCACACCATATACATGAGTGTATATCAGATGGAGTGTAAATTGAATGTTTCTCAAAAGGGTAAATATTTATATGTGTTAACATTGTACATACATGTAGAGATATTTTTAAAACAAATATAAACTAAAAAGGAAATCTCTTACATATTTTTAGACAGGTGCTAAAAGGAAATACATGTGTTTCATATAATGAGGCACAAAATGAGGTCCATTAAGCTGGCTGCATAAGGACTTCTGAATATTGGCAATTCCTATATTTAGTCATAAACTATTGGTTATGCACAGGGCAAATGATCATTCTTATTTAGTAAGTATTTGTTTAAAATATGCAAAGATTAAGCAACATTGGCAGATTTCTTAATTCTGATTTATGGTTGTGACATTATGTATAAAATCTCTAAATTTCTAATATTAATCTTCTACTAAGTATGAGAAAAAGTATGAAGTGAATTGAATCTTTTTACATATGATTTTCTTGATACTTTTTAATTTACTTTGGGGAAAATGACTGAATTAGGGATAAATTTAGATGGATGTTTTCTTACGCTGAATCTTTCTGAAAGCAACTCAAAATGATAATATTAAAAATATTTATCCCCAATATTTGACTTCCTATTACTTTTAGCTCATTTTTAACATTAGTCTTTTTTTTCCATTTCTGTGAAATTTTTAAACGTATGGCTTTCATAGTCTCCTCATATATATTTTAATTTAGCATAAAGTATGATTTATTACTCTCACATTGATGTTTTAAAATTCATTCTACAGCAGTTCCTTTAAAAGGAAACATTACTTTGTGTATTTTCCCAACAAACAGGTGGTGTGGCTTCTCCACTGTCAAAGTGACAGCCACCCAATCACAATCATTTCTCAAATAGTATGCAGTGGAAAAATAACATCTGTAGATTAATGAAAACCAGCTTGATAAAATGAAGCAGGTGGTCATATTAGCATTTCTGCAGCTAGAGAAATTCATCTGCAGAAACTTGATTTACAGTAATTTTAACCTGATTTATTCTTCATTATAAGTAAGTGCACTACCCAAGAGATGTGTGAATCATGGTACTTAGTGAAATAAACATATTTGGAAGATTATTATCTTGCAGAGAATCTGTTGTTACTCTTCTTGAACAATGTTCTTTAGAAATCATTTGCTCCTTTGCTTTATTTAACTGTAATAATGTATATCTGGGAAAAGCAGTATTTTTCTTTCCATAGGTAAAAATAATCATATATATATATATGTATATATATAGTTTTGGAATTAAATATATCTTCATTGATGACATGCAATTAGGCTTTTTATAATATGCTTCAAAGACATTTTTAATAGAGGCAAGACATACATGTGTATAGGCATGTTGTAATGAATAAAACAGATTATATATATGTTTTATATAGTATGTATACATATATAGATACATATATATTAGATATTTTAATATACTTTTATATCTATATAAAGCATTACCCTTGTGAATATACTCATTTCATATACATTTTATATATGTATAATGTGTATACACACACACACACACACACACACACACACACACACACACTGAATATATAAAAACAATGGTGGAAATAATTTAGAAGGCCATAAATAAAAGATGTTCTTTGATAGATTGTTATGCAATTGTTAAAAGGGACAGTCAATCTGTATGCATAATGATTGTGGATTAATGACCACAATACATTATTAATGTTTTTTAAAAGAGCAACTTACACAAAAATATAGACAATTTAAAATAATGCACAAATGGACTCGGAAAATTATACTGAAGTACACATATCCAGATGTCAATCAGGGTTTTTTTCTAGAGGTGATTGAGTCTTTTATTTTCACTTTATATAAGTTTATATATTTGAATATTTTCTCATTGATTTTGTATTCTTTTTTACTTTTTGAATGTGTAAAACATTTTTTAACTGAGGAGGAAATTATTAATTATTGATAAACTCTTCCTTGAAAGGAAGTAGTCTTTCTAATATGGGAAAGTGATTCCTCATGTGCTAGAGATATTCCTCCTATATTTCATAACCTACATAAAACTAGTTTACTTTTACTTAAAATACTTGATTATAATCATGTGTGAAAATCTCTAAGTCTCATTCAAAGTAACTAAGATGTAAATACATTTTGAATATCTATATTTCTTAGAAAATATAATTTTATGTGTATGTGACATGAATATTACCAACTAAGTATTGCAACCAATTGAAATACATTCAAGAACCTGATTGTGAATTCTTTAGCATAAGGGATACATAATACAGACTATACTGAGTCATCTGCAACTGGCCCATGGCAATTTGTTCATTGCCAGACATTTATAGAACA